>NC_000006.12:1120606-1272121 GCF_000001405.40 Homo sapiens
CATGACATAACATATACATAGAGTAGCTAGATATTTTTTCCTGATATACATTAAAATGAATACTAAACTATTAAATTAAAGGTATTTATCTGGGCTGGAAACAGTGGATTCTGCCTGAAATCCTAGCACTTTGGGAGGTAAAGGGGGAAAGATCACTGAACCCAGGAGTTTGAGACCACCCTGGTCAATGTAGTAAGACCACATCTCTATTAAAAATAAAAATAATCCAGTCTATCATTTTTGGACATTTGGGTTGGTTCCAGGTCTTTGCTATTGTGAATAGTGCCATGATAAACATACGTGGGCATGTGTCTTTATAGCAGCATGATTTATAATCCTTTGGGTATATACCCCTAGAACTTAAAGTATAATTTAAAAAAAAGAAAATAAAAATAAAAATAAAAAATAAAAAAATTAGCTGGGTGTGGTAGCACATGCCTGTAGTCCTAGCTACTTGGAAGGCTGAGGAGGAAGGATTGCTTGAGCCCAGGAGTTTGAGGCTGCCATAAGCTATGACGGCACCACTGTACTCCAGCCTGAGCAACAGAGCAAGACCCTGTCTCAAAAAAACACACGATATTTATCTTCACACTAGCTAAAATAACCTGATATGCCATCAGGGACCCACAGACCCTAGGAAGGATGAGGGAAGCATGGTCTATCCACACAGCGAAGTATTAGCCATTAATAATCGCTAGGTGGTGAAATTAATTACTTGCTGTTTTCCCTTTTTTTGCATTGTATAAGTATGCATTGATTCTAAACCAGGGACAGAAAAGCTTTATTTTTAGGTCTTCAATTAAGCATGAATCCGGGGAGTCAACAAGCTAGACGTTGCCCAAGGGCACCCATGACACAGACAGATCTACAGTGCTGTAAGCATCAGGTAACGACTGCGTGGAGTGCCAGTGCTGCTCCCAATAAGGAAGCATCTCCCGATTGCTTATGCTCTTCCTGTCCCACGTTGGCTGCAGGAGTATCAGATGGTTTCCCAGGGACCTAAGTGGGAAGAATCCGAATAAGCCCCTCTGAGGACAAACAGATGTCCAATAAGAAATGGTGGCTTTGATTGGCTTGTCACTAGCTGAGACCTCCCTGAGACACCTTAAAAGCCAGCCCTTGAGGCGTTTTCACAGGGTTCTCCATTTTTACAGATGGGACCCGCCTGGCCTTCTAAGACCCTCCAGAATCAGAAACAGATGAGAAATCGTATGCTGCTGTCACACGTGAGAGCCACTAACCAACTCCGGTCTCACAGTATCCAACAAAAGGGAAAAGCCACTGCAGCTCATGCCCCTTGAAACTAGTTAGGGACCCGACCACATCTCCAAATACGCACGGGTACATACCCGTGCACACCCAAACTCAAACCAGATCCTCTTACATGACCATCAGTCCTGACCAAGGGCTTTTAGGTGTCGAGGGCTCTGGGAGTTCAAAGGAATGGCCCAGGACTATCCCTGTCTGTAGGTCAGCAAGGATTCCACCTCTGGCAAGGTGAAAATCTGGGCTTCTCCTAGACATAAAGGATGCCTGAGACAAGGTGGGGTACTATCTTTTTCTTGGATTCGGCCCTAATGCTGACCTTCAATCAACTAACCTCAACAGACAAAGCTGGACTTAACTCCTGGAACTGCCCACTGGTACCTGTGGCCCTGGTCTCGGAGACATCCAGTACCCACACTCTCCTGTTTCACGCTATGCTGTTCAAGCACAGTGGGTGCCTCTACCTCAATTCTCTGACCCAGATCCAAGCAGAGCAGAAGGCAGAGAAGAACAGGGAGACAGAACTCTAAGATATCCACGATCTTCTGAAACAAACTAGAGAAGAATGTCATGCCAGAGTAAGGCTTATATGTGGCCCAGAAACATCAGAGTGCCTGTGTCCCAAAGAGCAATGCTGTCACACTCAACTGTCATCCTAGGATGACCACATCACAAACCTGATATGGATGCTCTCTTGTCCCAGGTCTGTGTTTTAAGAATATGAGAGGCATCTCAGTTTCTTTCAAAACCAAATCCTTCTTTCTGTGCAGAGTATTTGAAAACTGTACCATGAGCCTGGAAAATAGTGATCAGACTGGATACGAAACATGGTAAGGCCAGTAAGACAGTTGAGGAAGGACAAACGTGTCACTGTGTCCCTCAAAATGGGATTGAGTCTGCCATCGATAAGCAGGAAAAAGTCAAAATAGACTCAAGGTACACACTGATGTTTCACTGCAATGTGTCAAAGTGGACCCAGTGCCTGACTTAAATCAGCATAAACATTCAAATAATGCAATCACTAGTTAAATGTAAATAAGAAGTTAAGGCCTTCTATTTTTTATATGCAGGATGTGAAAGTGAATGGACAGCAGTATCCATCAATGGAATTTTTTTTTTAGCACAAGCTATTTGTGAAACTTTGTACAGGCTCTACGAAAAGAAGGAGAAAGATTTCTGTGGTTGAGATGCTCAGATTCTAGCTAGAGATACCCACTTTTAATGAATACTGCAGCAGAAACTGCCCCATCCCCCCAGTACTTTTGTCTTCCTCTTGGTAATAAAACCCCCTAAGTTTTAGCCATGCATATGGCTGCCAGGTCAAAACAATAATAAAAATACATTAACCAGCCTCCTTTGCAACTAGATATGGCCAGATGCATTAAATGAAGGGCAATGGGCTGTGAGTAGGAGTGAAGTGTAAAACAGTGCACAGTCTCCCATAAGAGAAAGATCCTTCCTGTGGATTCTCTCCTGGCCCCTTCCCCTTGGTTAGAAATGGCAATGATACCGCCATCTGGGAGGTCACAGGTTGAGCATGACAGAGCCACCGCACCAGCCCTAGACCACTCACCCCTGGACTGTGACCACCAGAAAGAAATTCCATCCTAATTAATTCACTACATTTAGAGTCTTTCCTAACAGCAGCTTAGATTATAACCAAACTAGTTAAAAGACACAATTTCCTAACAGCAATACCCTGCTGTGGGAGGTAGAAGGGATGAGTAAAGGTCAGGAATTAATGATGGGTAGACAGGGAGCAGCATGGGCACAAGTGATCCATGAAAGGTGCTGCTAAGCTCAGACTAGAAGGGTGGGCAAGACCCAAAAGGGGCTGATAGGTAGAACTCAGGGGCTCTGTGAGCTCTTCTAAAGGGGTTAACAAGAGGGCAATCCTAGAAGGATGTGTGGACTGATAATGAACACAGTACAATGCACATAGTAGGCACCGAGCAAATATCTGAGTGAGGCCCATGTGGGGCTCACATGATCACCCAAGCACGCAGGACACCATCCTACAGGCAGGTGTAAAGCAGCTGGTGGCATGGTGAAAGCAGTGCTTAAGGAAAATCAACTTGGCAGAGGGGTCATGTGCAATGGGATGGGAGTTCTGATTGGCAGAGGTCATGTGCAATGGGATGGGAGTTCTGATTGGCAGAGGGGTCATGTGCAATGGGATGGGAGTTCTGATTGGCAGAGGTCATGTGCAATGGGATGGGAGTTCTGATTGGCACAGGTCATGTGCAATGGAATGGGAGTTCTGAAAAACATTTAAAAAACTAAGCAAAAAAATTCTGAAGGCTAGGGTTATAGAGAGGGCAGCCACATTATTTATCATCCAAACTGGCACACACTTGGGTGCTGTTAATGATTACGCTGGAACACCAGGCATGAAGTGGGACTTTCTGAGCAAACTATGATGGATGGTTCACTTGGAAATAGATAACTTGAACGTCCTTCTCAGGTTGTCCCCCCTGGTTTTCAATAACCCTTTTGGCAACCCCTGCCAAGACTTTTTCTATATGGACCCGATCCAGGATCCATCTGAACCGGCTGAGTCTGTAGGCTTGGGCACGTTTGGTGTTCTATGCTCCATTGTGTTGGGTGAGAAAGGTGAGTGTTTCTCAAGGATTTTTCCTCACCATTTGCTCCTCTTTTGTCTATACAGGAAGTAAACACTGGTGATTTTTTAATCACCTCCTTTCACCACCCTTTCTGGAGCAGTAGGCTTGGTACTTTTGAAAAGCAACTAAAATTCTGTGTTTGCTTTTTTTCTCTCCCCATTCTATTGATAGAAATAGACTGAAGTCCTTCCAGTTGGCAAGAAAGAAAGACGACAGTGTCATGGGGATTGCACAGGCCAGGAGGAGGTTGGGGACGTGTGGATGGCACTTGGGAAGGAGTCACCTGTGAAAAGAATGACGACCATGCACAGCTCCCCTAATTCAACACAGATTAATTGGGGTATTAATTCTACTGTTGAAATTTTTCACCTCCCTCTTTAAAGTATTCCACATTAACAAGCTTTCAGCACTGAATCCCGCAGAAATGTCTTGAAAGGGATTTACCTGGGTTCACAGTTCATGATTCCACAGATGTTAGTAGCCTCAGCATTTTAGCAAACAAACCCACACACCCCCGTTCTCAGGTCTCTCTTAGAGGTAAATTCCAAGACAGGGAGGTAAACAAATCGCTCCCCCCGGGGGCTCCCATGGACCAGCCTGCACTGCCTCTGGTGGGTGTAAAGTCCTTGGGGAGCTTTCAGGATGAAGGGCAGGTGAAAACACGTTCCAGCTGCTGCCCAGGAGTCGAGTATTTACCTGTTGAAGCCCAACAGATTTAGGCTCATGTTTACACCCTGTGCCACCTAATGGGATTTTAATGCATTCCAAGGCTTCACAGCTGCCACCTACCCTCAGTCCAGAAGGGTAATCATTGTCATATAGAATGTAAGGGACCCAATACACCTGGTTTTGACCCAGATCAATCAGTCATTCTATAGTTGTAGAAGCGGGTCCTGGAAAACCAAGGGAGTGACCCAAGTTTGCACAAGTACGGGTGGTGCCACGCTGTGGGCTTCACCAAGGCTGGAGGTCTGAGCATGTCGGAATTGGCCGGACGAGGGGTAGGGATGGGAAGTCAGGAGGTGAGGGGGACCTCTCCAAAGAATCCAGGGATATGCCACAATGGCGGGTGAGCAGGTGGTGACTTCAGTGACCACAGGACACTCTGGTCTGGCTGCTGGCCGGGAAGTTAGCAATAGAGTAAAATGCCAATTATCTGTTGATTCTTTCTGATTTAAAAACACAAAGAACCATCATTCTCACCAAATCTGGGTCCTCACAGCCTGTGTATAAGGGGGAAAGGCCCAGAGAAGTTGCTGATTTAAAAACACAAAGAACCATCATTCTCACCAAATCTGGGTCCTCACAGCCTGTGTATAAGGGGGAAAGGCCCAGAGAAGTTGCTGATTTAAAAACACAAAGAACCATCATTCTCACCAAATCTGGGTCCTCACAGCCTGTGTATAAGGGGGAAAGGCCCAGAGAAGTTGCTGCTTAGTTTGGCGACCTTAAGGGACCCAAACTGTCACTTTAAGTTCATATCTATTGACTTTCCCTTCCTGCACCTGTCTCCAATATTATTCAGCCTTGTCTTTTATGCAAATGCCCAAACCAGAGGGTTCTGTCTCAATGTCTGGCACACGGTATATATAAAAGTGTTAACTTGGACAAAAATTCAAAATGATCACACAGATTCATACTCTGTTCAGAAACATACTTTTTTCTTCCAACTCAGCTCTGGATACCGTGTAAAAAGAGGAAAGCGTAGGAGCTACAGTGGGGGCGGCCCCTGGGCTCTTATTTATAGCTGCACTAAGAGAGACCTCATTTCCACCCTGAGGACATGGAGCATCACTGGGGGAGCTACACGGGACCTGGTGGGGTTCAGGTGGTGCCACGCCCTGGTGACATCTCCATGCACAGGTACTGGCATCACTGCATGTACACACATGTATACAGACACAGACTTACTACTATGCTTTATACTGCAACTCACGCAGACTTAGAAATCAAACTACAGCATAAAGAACAAACAGGCTGGGTGCCGTAGCTCAAGCCTATAATCCCAGCACTTTGGGACGCTGAGGTGGGCAGATCACCTGAGGTCAGGAGTTCAAGACCAGCCTGGCCAACATGGTGAAACCCCTGTCTCTACTAAAAATACAAAAGTTAGCTGGGTGTGGTGGTCCCTGCCTGTAATTTCAGCTACTCGGGAGGCTGAGGCAGGGGAATCACTTGAACCCAGGAGGTGGAGGTTGCAGTGAGCCGATATCACACCATTGCACTACAACCTGGGCCACAGAGACTCCAGGAAAAAAAAAAAAAGGGAAGAAGGAAAGAGAGAAAGAGAAGAAAAAAAAGAAAGAAAGAAAGGAAGGAAGGAAAGAAAGAAAAAGAAAGAAGGAAGGAAGGAAGGAAAGAAAGAAAGAAAGTAGGAAAGAAAGAAAGAAAGAAAGAAAGAAAGAAAGAAAGAAAGAAAGAAAGAAAGAAAGAAAGAAAGAAAGAAAGAAAGAAAGAAAGAATCACATGAGGAAGAAGGACTGAAGCTCGCCAGCTCCAGGACGAAAAGATGAACACATCTGAATAACAAGCCTGGCTGTAGGAATTCTACCAACTAAGCCTAGAAGGAAAAATGAGTTGAGCTGTGATGTTTTCATTGTCTGACAACAGAATTTGCACATGACGAGAGATTCTTTTTCTATAAAGCTAAAGTTTCAGGTGGGACTTGACATACTGGGACTGAGATGGAAAGAGTCCCGTCTGCTGGATCACAGGAGGGGCCCTTGCTCACTTTGCCCATCCAGGCCTGCGCACCGCAGTGGCCTGGAGAAGAGGTCTGGGTGTTTTAGACAGAGAGCAGCACAACTGCCTACGTGAACAAGCAGCCGCCCCTGCCTCTGCACTCACGGGCCTCTGTAGCTTTAGTAGTCCCACTGTGATGCCAGCCTCAGGCAGATGGGTCTGTGTTTCTAAATCAAGCGAATTATGCTTCCTCCACATATTGGCTGTGCATTTTCTACAACCAAAACCATAATGACCAGGAGCCAAATTATTTTCACGGCAAATAGAAATGGAGGAAAATGAAGACCGTCTGAACCCCTATGTACTAGTCATAGTTCTTGGTGGCAAATAACAGAAATGGATTCTGGCTAAAGTAGTGAGAAAAAAAGGTTTCCTGGAAGGCTATTGGGTATCTATGAAATCACCAGGAAGGCCAAGAAGCAAGCTTGTGACATTCGCAGGAAGCAGGACCATCTGGGTGGCCGAGGAGAGGCCAAGGACCCGTCCACAGAACCATTCCCTCTCACAGACGGCCTCCTGCCAGCTCTGCATCTTTGCACCTCCTTCTGTGTTCAGAATCTCGCACGAGCCATCCAGCTGCCCAAAGCTGGCCCCACATCAACATGCCAGGGGAAGGAAGAGGCCATGCCTGGCCCCTTCAGGGTTTTACAAATGGACACAGCACCCTGCCCACCACTAAGATTCATACATTGAGGAGATCCCCCTCTCCCTACATGCAACATGCAGAATGGAACTCCAGATGCTGGCCAGTGAAGCAATACCATCAGCAGCAGTAATGACAAAACCTAACAGTTGTCCACTGCAGGAAGAACCAATGAAGTGTGTGTGTGTGCGTGTGTGCGTGCATGTGCATGTGTGTGCGCATGTGTGTGCGCACGCATGTGCGTGTGTGTGTGTGTGTGTGTGGTTTGGGGATGGGGCTGGGGGAGTGCCAGCAGAGCAGAATACTGGGGTAGGAGGAGCAGGGAGGGAGAGACAAAGAAAAAGGAGAAAAAGAGAAAATGAAAGTCAGAGACCAATGCTGTCATTCTAAACTTTCCATGTACCATATGTGATGTTTTTCAGATTAGGGAGTTGAGAACATGCAGCAAATATCCTCGAAACTGTGAATGGACAGCGCCCTGGATCATAAGGAGTAGAGACACCACTGACCACTCTCACTGCGCCATGGTCACGTCTTTCAGGAAAGGGTGGTGTGACCACGAACTGCACGTCTGCTACAGGGCAGGGCTGTGGGCTTCAGGGCATGACTGTAAACAAATTTCAAAAATTTTAGACACATTTCGAAAAATGTGAAGCCCTAATGTCCATCCACTTCTGGATATCATTTCACATCTATCGTATCTTTCCTACTTTTGAAGACTACTGCAGTTGAAATCTTGTAAATTCTACCAGAGGAGAACCCTGGGATGGCCTTTCGTGATATGAAGATTAAGCAGCCATATTTTACTCATCCCAATCGCAGAGCTGTTTTTATTATACATTTATGCATCCTTTTGTAACATACATTTTGGGAGTTATCCAATGGCCATCCATTTTGTGAACCAGTTTGGCCCAGCTTGTGTCAAGTAGTTAGAAGCTGAGAAAGAATGAAAGTGCACAATTAGTCACAAATTCTCCTCCAATATGTGAATAAGAAATTAAGCACCATTTGCTGATGGATCATCAATAAGTATTACAGAAAACGTAGGTGTTGAGAAGCCACATGGCTCATTTGACATCACACAGCGGAGGGAAGACAGGACTGGAAACCACAACCTGATGTCTGGATGTTACTTTTGTGGCAGCTGTAATTGTGATTATCGTTACTTCTTTGTCCCTGGTACTACATATTTCATTTTATAACACATAAAAGTAATTTTATAGAAATGTCTTGGAAGCGTTCCAAATGCAGTCCAAACACAGGGGAGAGGGTGACTTAAGTTCAAGATAAAAGCCACTAAGACCTTCCCCATAGCCTTGCTACCAAGAGAGCTGGCCCTTCATGGCCAAGTATTCCCATCCGGCTCGCTAAGCACATGCCTCGTCCCTCCCTTCCCAGCCTCTCATCCACACATCTGGAAAGCCTGTTCTCCCAAGTGAACTTGGTCTGGCTCAGGAATCTTGACATTCCACTCAAATGAAAGAGCGTATTGTTGAAAACTAGCTGCAGAGAGACACATAGACAGACAGGGATACAAACAGTGTCATCGCGTGATATTTCACATCTAAGAATGGAGCTCAGCAGCAACACACCAGACTGGCGGGGGTGGGGGTTTGGGGGGTGGGACGTGGTGAGAAATGCAGTCCTTTCAAATTACTCCTTGACATTCTAGAAGGTCTATCCCAACACACAACTGATGTTTTGATTGATGAGCACCCTGGGGCCTTTGCCCCCTTGGAGGCCTTGAGCTCAGCCTCCAGAGAGGATATGAAGATGCCACTTTAGGTGCACCCCTGGCTCCTGAAGCTCACAGTCCTGGCCGAGACGCCCAGTTTCCTTCTTCTTTTCTCAATTTTTTATTTCATAATAGGATTCCTGGCCAGGTACAGAGTCTCACGCCTGTAATCCCAGCACCTTGTGAGGTCAAGGCAGGAGGATTGCTTGAGCTCAGGAGTTCAAGACCATCCTGGGCAATATAGTGAGACCCTGTCTCTACAAAAACAAAATTAAAAGAAAAAATTAGCCAAGTGTGGTGGTACATGCCTGTGGTTCCAGCTACTTGAGAGGCTAAGGTGGGAGGATCTCTTGAGCCCAGGAGTTCAAGGCTGTGGTGAGCCCTGATCACACTGCACTCCAGCCTGCACAACAGAGCAAGGCCTTGCCTCCAAAAATATATATAATAATAAAATAACAAAAAAAATGCCAGAGAATGGCACGCACAGATTGCCTTCAGCATTGAGTGTTCACGTCCCGGAATTCACTGAAACATGGGAACCTAGGAGTGACCTGAGGAGCCCAGCCTTTCCAAAATGGAAATGCAGCTGGCGACATGAAGAACAGAAACACCAACTGCATGGGGCCTGGAAAGGCATCTCCCCTTTACTCCACCATCATCACAGCTTTCCCGAGGAGAGAGGGAATGGTTGAGGCCATTTGACTATTGTTTTTCACCAGGACCACCTCCCACCCGATGGAGGCCACAGGCTCAGCTGACGTCCTAACTATTGACGGTCATCTTTGACACACACATCATATGTGGTGGGTCAGCTGTGGAAGTAGGGGTGGAAGTAGGGATTTCTTGTAAGACATGCCCTGGCAGCTCCCAAAGAAACAAAGGGCAAATGCTGCTTTCTCCGGAGTTGTGGAGAAGCATCTTCAAGCCTGTAGCCCTCTCCTGAAGCCAGATGAAGGACAGGTGTTCCAACCGCATGTTTTTATGACGCTGAGTTTGGATCTGTTTTTCTCCAGACTCACACTGAAACCCTTCCTCCAAGGGCTCTCAGCCCAACAAGATACTGGAAAAGAGGTTTGAACCCAGCTCCTCTAGTTCCCTATTGGCCTAACTGTTTAGTCAGAGCTGCCAGCACCATCGTTTCTGGAAGGAGCTCCTGGTGGTGAGGCTGTGCTAGAACCTGGAGAGAAGGGGCCCTTTGCCTCACCAGCAACACAGCTTGAATCCCAGCAGATGAAGGAGATCCATGCAGTCATCACCGGGTGTTCTCTGCAGCCTCGGTGACCCTCAGGGGAGCTTCCCGGAAAGGCAGGCGCTGCCCTGGAGCCTCTTTAGCAGGAGCTGAGCACGTCAAGTCTCAAGTGTGAGCTTTAAGTTTGGCCTGAGCTATTCAGCTGTAGCCACTTAAACAGAGAAAAACCTGACAACTCGTCACTAAGGCAATAAGTCAAAAAGCAACTTTTGTAAAAACCTAGTGACATAAATGCTCTACAGGGCAAATCAGATACTGCGGCAAATACAGAAGTAAGGCCCACAGCTACTGCCCAGAGCAAGCTCTCCTACACCTGCTAAGCCCCCTCACCCAACCCTCTGAGGCGGGGCCAAAACCTGTGGCCAGACCCAGGAATTCTGGTCGTTCCTTGATGGAGGCCAGAGACCTGGCCAAGGTCGTTAGAGTAGACTCCGTGGAAGCACAGAGTAGAATCTAAAAGCAACTTAGATTTGGATCTTCGGGAACAAGTAAGTGCACCTCAGATCTGGACATAAGCCCTTTCTGGTAGCACTGTTTTCTAGAAAGAAGACTGTACTAAAGTTCTGGATAACTCTCTCCCTGCCCCCAGTGACGTCTCAGAGCAGCCTCATGGACTGACTTGACCAGGCTCCCAGGCCCCCTGCCTCCAGCCCAGCTGTCCTTCCCTCTGTCCCCAGGGCTCAGTGTCTCTCTTTCTCTCTCTCCTTCTTTCTCTCTCTCCAACTGTTGTTTCCTGCTCTTCTACTTTCTCCATCTTCCTCCCTCTCATCTTTCCTTCTCTCTTATCTCTCTCTTCCTTTCACTCTCTATCTTTTTGGCTCTCTCCTGCCTATCCTCCCTTCCCTCTCCTCCTCTCTATCTCTTCATCTCTCTCTCCTCTCCCGTCTCTGTCCGTGTGTGTGTGTCTCTCTCTCCCCAACTCACGTTTCTCCCCTCCCCCACCCTGCTCCTAGTTAATGTTTCCAGTTAATTGACGTGTTGTTGGCCTCTCAGATTGGCATGATTCAACAGCCCTTCCTGGGGCTCACATGACAGGTCCTGCATGTTAGTCACAGAGCACTAAGAATGCCCCAGAGGAGTGGAGACCACAGACAGGATTATTCTCAGCTCTGACATGCACGGCATAGCACTCAGCACTAAATAAACTTGGGAAGTGTTCACAGTGCCGCAGTGTGTATATAGCACTGCAGCCTCCAGGCCAGAATAATTACACATGGACTTACAGTTTAGTTTACATTTAGAATACAGAAGGGACAAAATTCTTGCCTTAAGATCTATTTTCAGTGTTGACTTAGATTGAGACTTATGAGAGATGTGTCTAGGGCAGGGGGGTGCGTGCATGTTCACAGAGACCTAGAGGACCTACCTGGCCTCTGAAATGTTCTCACCTCAACCCTAAATGTACACCTGCTTCTACAATTAGAAGTTCATCACTTGGGCTTAAAAATTAAACGTAAGGGTGTGGGTGGGGGGCAAGGACGGCCTATCTCCCACCAAGATGTAAAAACTCCTATTTCATCAAACGCTTCTTTTTCAGAATAAAAGCATCCCCCTGATCTTTTACTGAGATTTGCTTTTTCCAGCAATGTCAGCAGTCAGGCCTGCACACTTCATGCGTGAGACAACAGGCTCCATAAGGGGGGAGTGGGCAGTCCAAGGCCAGCAGGTTTAGGGAAAGCAGGTCTCCTGACACCCCCAGCAGGCATTTTCCATCATAGCACATTGCACGTGGATTTGATAGCTCAATCAAAACATGCCATAGAAAAGATACAATTTATAAACGATAATGCCTAGAAGTAGATTCCTGAGGTAGGAATATCACTAAAATTTGATAGTTCAAAAGAGTGCAAAGGACTTCCAGGTTCTGGTAGCAGAATAGCAGCTCCTATCAGACTAAATCTCTTGGAAGTAACAGCTATAAACACTAGTCAAAATATTTTTAAAAAACAACTATCTGGAGGCACTGGAGAGAAGCAGGCAGAAGTAAGGGGAGTCCACACTTGGAGGAAGGCACCACACTAGAGAGACAGTGTTTGGAGTTTCCGTCCAGTTTAGTTAACTGTCTGCTAAAATGGAAATTCAATACTCTGCAGAGAAATATACCATAATTCAGAACCTCTACAGCAAATCATTTGCAACATCCAGAACAGGATCCAAAATCAGATATTCGAAGAAACTGAAGGGGAGTTTCAATGAAGATTGACCCAGAATCACCTAGATGTTGTAATGAACAGATAAGGATTTTTAAGCTCAGCTCTGGGACATAAAGGAAATTATACTTGTAATTAATGAACAACTAGGAAAGCACAGCCAAATGGAAATTCTAGATCTGAAAATACAATATCTAAAATGAAAATTTTACTAAATGGGCATAACGGGAGAGTGCAGAGGTCAAAAGAAAGATTCAGTGAACTTGGACTTCAATCTATAGAAATTAACCAATTTGAAGAGCAAAGAGAAAAAGGGATAAAAAGAAAGCGAGCGAAGAAGCCTCAGCAACCAAACCAAAAGCTCTCAAATAGATGCAGTGCGTGCGATTAGGGTTCTAGAAGAATGTTTGAAAAGTCGTGGCCAAATATTTTCCAAATTTGCTGAGAAAGAAATTCACATATTCAAGAAGCTCAAAAGAGTACAAAAACTTTAGAGGGATAATTTATAGAACACCCATATTAAATACTTATTAATACTTCTTTCTTGGTGTATCACTAGAACAGACGATTCTGTGACTGCCTCAATGTATTACTGCTTCTAATTAGACTTGAGGTTATCACAGAAACCAACTTTCCCTCACATTCTCATCCTTTTTCTTGTTCTTATAGAATATGATCAGAACACTTTCTTTTAGAGTATAGCTGTTCCTAAATTATTTTCATTTAACATATAAGAATGTTTAAGTCTATATTTTTAATTGATACATCATAATTGTACATATTTTGGGGGTACAATGTGATATTTTGATACATGTATACAATGTATAATGATCAAATCAGGGTAATTAGCAGTTTGTCACCTCAAATCTTTATCATTTATTTGTGTTTGTAACATTCGAAATCCTCTCTTCTAGCTATTTGAAAAAATACAATAAATGGTTGTTTACTATAGTTACCCTACAGTGCTGCAGAACACTAGAACTTATTCCTCCTCCCTAGCTGTAATTTTGTATTAATTAACCAACTTCTCCCTATCCAATCTCTGCTGCTACCCGTCCTAGCCTCCAGTAACCACTAGTCTACTCTCTGCTCCTAGACATTTTTGTTGTGTTTTTTTTTTTTGAGACAGTCTTACTCTGTCACCAGGCTGGAGTGTGGTGGCGCGATCTTGGCTCACTGCAACCTCCGCCTCCCGGGTTCAAGCAATTATCCTGCCTCCGCCTCCTGAGTAGCTGGGATTACAGGCACACGCCACCATGCCCGGCTAATTTTTGTATTTTTAGTAGAGACAGGGTTTCCCCATATTGGTCAGGCTGGTCTCGAACTCCTGACTCGTGATCCACCTGCCTCGGTCTCCCAAAGTGCTGGGATTACAGGCATGAGCCACCGTGCCCGGCCTACTTTCAAATTTTTAAGCTTCCACATATGAATGAGAACATGCTGTATTTGTCTTTCTGTGTCTGCCCTATTTTACTTAACATAATGTCCTCCAAGCTCATCCATTTTGGCATAAATGACTGGATTTGTGTTTTTTGGTGAATAGTATTCCATTGTATATATGTACCATGTACCACATTTTCTTTATTCATCTGTTACAGTCATTTAGGTTGATTTCATGTGTTGGCTATTGTGAATACTGCTGCAATAAACACATAAGTGCAAATGTCTCCTCAACATATTGATTTCCTTTCCCTTGGATTGAAAAGAAATCCAAATCCATACTGGGCATATACCCAGTAGAGGGATTGCTGGATCATCTGGTAGTCCTATTTATAGCTTTTTAAGGGACCTCCATACTGTTTCTCATAATGTTTTCCTTTTTCTCTACATCTTCACCAGCATTTGTTACTTTTTGTCTTTTTGTTATCCTAACTGGGGTGAGATGATATTTTACTGTGGTTTTAATTTGAATTTCCTTGGTGATTAGTGATGTTGAGTATTTTTTCATATACTTATTGGCTATTTGTACATCTTCTTCTGAGAAGTGTCTATGTGGCTCCTTTGCCCATATTTTAAGCAGATTATTATTATTATTTGCTGTTGAGTCGTTTGAGTTTTTGTATGTTTTGAATATTAATCCCTTATTAAATAGTTTACAAATATTTTCTCCCATTCTCCAGCTGTCTCTTCTCTCTTTTGATTTTTCCTTTGCTGTGCAGAAGCTTCTTCGTTTGATATAATCCCATTTGTCTGTTTTTACTTTTGTTGCCTGTGCTTTTGAGGCCTTAACAAAGACAAGACTATTGTTTCCTCAGTGTATGTTCTTGGACTCTTTGTTGAAAATCAGCTGGATATAAATACGTGGATTTATTTCTGGGTTCTCTCTTCTGTTCCACTGGTCCATGTGTCTGTTTTTACGCCAGTACCATGTTGTTTTGGTTACTTAGACTTGCAGCAGACTTTGAAGTCAGGTAGTGCGATGCCTCCAGCTTTGTTCTTTTTGGACAGGATTGTTTTGGCTATGCAGGGTCTTTGTGGTTCCACACAAATTTTAGAATTGTTTTTTCTTTTCCTGTGAAGAATGCCATTGGTATTTTGATAGGAAATTTGTAGATCATTCTGGGTAGTATACAAATTTCTAATGCATTTCTAAACTCTAAAACAAACATTTGAATTTGAAATGTTTTTGAACTTAAAGACATAACGTGGATTTGTCAGCAAAAAAAGTAAGAATTCAAGATGGTATTTTAAAAAAAAACCTCATATCTTTTTTCTTTTCTTTAGCCTTCAGTTTATTCCACAAATTAATAAGTAGAATGAGCCCTGAAACTTCAGTGACTCCTCCCTATAAAAGCGACATCTGAATTTTGCAACCGGCGAAGCTGGGTCATTGAATTTTTATGGCCTATTTCTCCATGCCTCTGATGTAACACAAAGGAGAGCTGTGTCTCCCAGTGCTTTGTCTTGGGTGCCAGAGATGGTCTCCTGTCTCAGCATCACCCTTCTGTCTCTCCTGGGAGTACACATCTTCTGAATTAGCACTTAATGCCCAGAGCATGCCCAGGTCATCTAGAGAGTAAAATTGCAAAATCACATCAGTTCTCTGGACATCATTACTTTGAGGAGGCATGTCTGGCTACTGAGCAAATAGAAACCAGTATACAGCTCTCCAGACATTTCTCCATAACCAAGAGGCTAAGAGCCTTGCTGAAGGCCTTCATTCTCAGTTGCTCGATCCTTTCCAACAGACCAGAAATTAGCCTTTCAACTTAGGTCAATGATACACATTTGTTTGGCCAACAACGCAGGCAGTGGAGTGTGGTGCAGGCTCTTGAGAATCGATCTACACTGACAAGTGATCCTAAATTGCTGCTGCCAACATCAGTTCTACTTTTGTGGGCTCCTGGTAGAAAATATGAAAACCAGTCTTGTCCCTCTCGATAAGTATCTCTATTATTATCATCGTTATTTGGAGGAATTTTAAAAACGTGCTGTGTTTTGCAAAAGGGTGCAAGCTGCCAAATGCCCTGCATGAGATGGAGGGTTACTCATCCAGCACTGTCAGTTTTTCTCATTGACTTTGGCAGAAAGGTCCGTTTCAGCAGGGAAGAATCAGCACGTCAGCTGAGACATGTGATCTGTTCTCAGCGTCACTGCTAGTGCCAACTCGTAGGAAATTAGGCGCCTAACTTATTAATAGTGATGAATCCATTAGAGTTGACAGGCGCCTGGCTGTGCTGCCGCGGATTAACTGTGAGTGGTCAGAAGCACTGTTGGTGAACAAGTGCAGAGTCAGATAATTAGAGGACCTGCTACTTCTCTCCAGGCTGTTCCAAAATGTAGAGTTTAGGAATTGAATAGACAAAGATGCATACAGTGTCTGAGATTAATGATCTGAGCTAAAATTAGAAATATTTATGGCTTGGCACAAAACCTTAAGTTACTGTAAAAACAGAACATTAAAAAAAAACCCCTTTTACAACTTGGCATAATTGGACTCCTCCTTTTTGTTTGAAACACTTTCCCTTAATGGCATGGGGTATGCGACAGAAAATGCCAGAATTCCACCCCTGGGTTGGTCCGTCTGTTGGCGGCATGCCCACCTGCTTTGAAATCTAGTTAATTGAAATTACCACACAAATACCTGAATGATTTTGAAAAGTCATTAATGTGTTTCAAGCCATATGCGTACACTTAACAAAGATAAGGTCACCACTTTAACAGGACACAAACATGCCTTGAGATGGGGGCATGAACTGGGTCTGTGGAGACGTTTACAAGTAGGTATATGAGCAGGAGCACCGAATGCCCTCCTGTTTGATAAACACAAAGCAACTCAGAACCTGGCTGAGCGAGACACTAAGTTTTGTCTGCAGTGCAGTGTGGCATTTTGTGATTACCTTAAATAATATGACTTTCTTTATCTACAGCAAACAGGATTTTATTTATTTATTTATTTATTTATTTATTCATTCATTTTGAGATGGAGTCCTGCTCTGTCACCCAGGATGGAGTGCAGTGGCATGATCTCTGCTCACTGCAAGCTCCCCCTCCCGGGTTCAAGCCATTTTCCTGCCTCAGCCTCCCGAGTAGCTGGGACTACAGGTGCCCGCCACCGCGCCCGGCTAATTTTTGTATTTTTAGTAGACACGGGTTTCACTGTGTTAGCCAGGATGGTCTCGATCTCCTGACCTCGTGATCCATCCGCCTCGGCCTCCCAAAGTGCTGGGATTACAGGCGTGAGCCACCGCGCCCGGCCAGCAAACAGGATTTTAAAAAATAGCTTATGGCTGTGTATAATCAAGTGAATTGCAAAAATCCTTCAGAGGGATATTACCTAATCGCAGCATCTTCAACTCTAATGAACCCCCCAGTGGTCCGCTTTAAATCCTGGTATCACTCGTTCTCGGTATATTCAGAAATTTGAGATTATAGAATTTGTAGCACAGGAGAATAATTCGTCTAAAGGATACAGAACTGGAAACAAAAGTTTTACACTGCAGAATTGTGTGTAAACTTCAGCTCTAGTAGTCAAGTGTACTGTTTTAGCTCAGTTCTAGGAGACTTTGGAAACACCCAGCAAAAGGGGAAGTGAAGGATAAAATGACTTCTTTAAGATCTATGACCATGTGGACTGAATACATCCCCAGATTTGAAAAGAATATTCTTGTTATTTGAAGGAGTCAGAAATGACCCAAGTTAGAAAGGAGGTGGGCCGGGCTCAGTGGCTCACACCTGTAATCCCAGCACTTTGAGAGGCCGAGGCAGGGGGTTCACCTGAGGTCGGGATTTCGAGACCAGCCTGACCAACATGGACAAACTCCATCTCTACTAAAAATACAAAATTAGCTGGGTGTGGTGGCGCATGCCTGTAATCCCAGCTACTCGGGAGGCTGAGGCAGGAGAATCACTTGAACCTGGGAGGCGGAGGTTGTGGCAAGCCGAGGTCACACCATTGCACTTCAGCCTGGGCAACAAGAGCAAAACTCTGAGAAAAAAAAAAAGAAAAGGAAGGAAGGAAGGAGGTATTTGGAATCAGAAAATATATTTTTCAAAACACCGAACAGCTAAATCGCCATTGTTCCTCTGTTGTACTATAAATTCCAAAATGCTGCCAAGCTGCACTTTTTTTACACCATAGATTGGATGATGACCTAAAATAAAAAATGTTGTCAGGTCTTTCCCACTGCTTAACTGTCCACCTGCCTGAACTACATTATTCTGTTAGGTGGTCTCATCATGCCCTGAATTTCTGTCCTTTTTGTATATAGCTCCCGCCTGTGATTCTGTACTAAATGCAGATCTTGCATTCCTAGAGCTTCATGCGGGCAGGGCCCGTGTCTGCATTCTTCACCAACATATCCCACCTTGCACAGTTAAGTATTTTTTGAAGAAATGAACGACATCTCTTAAAGACACAGAACACCGAAGCAACAGAAGCTCTTTCCTTAACCAGTTGCTTCCATCGGCTCCACCTATAATGAGAAATGCTTAGAGCTGATGCTGCAGTTTGGACAGGTGAATGATGAAGATTGTGGATGGGCCTTATTTCCAATTGCTAATAGTAAAAGTAAATACAAGAATATTTAGCACCCAACAAAGTAAAGTTTCCAACAAAGATTAACAGACCTATGCAAAAGCAGGAAAACATAATTATTAATAGAGTAAATAATCAATTAATTGAAACCAACCCAGAACTGACATATATTAGAATTGGCAAAGATATTAAAACGGTTATTATAATCATGTTCTAAATGTTCCAAAATTAATTTTAAAAATCAATGAAACGTATAAAAAAGTCCAGATTGAACTTCTACAGACAAAAAGTATAGTTTTGCTAACTATAATGTAATGACACATGAGACATGGCAAGAGAAAAGATTAGTTAATTGATGATGTAGCAATATAAATTGTTCAGATGATAGGCACAGAGAAAACAGAAACAAAAGAAATTGAAAAGAGTATCACTGGGCTTTGGGACCACTTCAAGTGGCCTAAGATATGTATACTTGGAGTCTAGACAGAAAAATATTTGAGGAAAAAATGGTTAAAACGTTTCCAAATTTGGTGAGAGCTATAAATCCACAGATCTAAGGAACTCAATCAACACTAGCCACAAGAAATATAAAGAAAACCACACCAGGGCATACTGTAATCAAAATGCTCAAGCCAGTGCTAAAGAAAATGTCTTAAGAGCAGCCAGCGAAACAGACACATTACATACAGAGGAACACAGATAAGGATAATATCAGAATTCTCACTGAAAAAATGCAAGCAAGAAGATAGCAAAGGAACACTTTAAAGTACTGAAAGAAAACAATAGTCAATCTAGAATTCTACACCTAGCCAAAAAAAACATATTTTAGAAGTCAAGGTGAAATAAAGATGTTTTCAGACATACAGAAGCTGAAAGACTTCCTTACCAGAAGAAATGTTCGCCAAAGTCCTTCAGACAGAAGGAAAATGGCACCAGATCAAAACAGGGACCTGCAAAACGAAGCACAGAGCACTGGAAATGGTAGCTACATGGGCAAATGGATGAGATCTTTTCATTATTTAAGTTTGCATAAAAGATAATTGACAATCTAAATGAAAATAATTCCACTATATTTTGGATTTATAATATATGTAAAACAATGGCAAAATAAAAGCCAGGAGAGAAGTAATGGAAGTAAATTGTTGTTAGGTTCTTATACCACACATGAAGTGATATAATATCACTCGAAGGTAAACTATGATAAGTTAAGATGCATGCTACGAATCCTAAAGCAACCACTAAAATAACAAAGCAGTTAGAACTAGTAAACCAAAAACAAAGATAAAAATGAAACATAAATAATAATCTAAAAAAGACAGAAAAAGAAGGAAAGTGAAGAAAGATCAGTAGGAAACAAATAGCAAGATGATAGATGTAAATCTAACCAAATTAATTACATTAAAAGTAAGTCTCTATGTAGCCCTATTAAAAGGCAGATATTGTCAGACTAGAAAAGAGAACAAGGCAAAACTATATGCAGGCTATAAGAACTATACTTTAAAATCAAGACAAAAGTGGGTTAAAAGTAAAAAGATAGAAAAAGATGTGCCATGCTAACATTAGCCAAAAAAGCTAGAATTACTATTTTAATAATAGACAAAGTAGATTTTAAAGCTAAGACTATTTCCAGGTAGAATTAAGGTCATTTTGTAATGATAGAGGGGTTGATCAGTCAGGAGGACTTAATCTTAAAGGTGTACCCCCTTAAGAAATACATGAAGCAAAACTACATGAAGCAAAAAAAAAAAATGAAACTGAGATGAAAAACAGGGAAATTTGTAATTACAGTTGGAGATTTCAAAAACCTTCTCTTCATAATTGGCAAAAAAAAAATCGGATAGCATCAAAAATATAGAATATTTCAGCAACACTATCAACCAACCTGAGCTAATCTAAATTAACAAGTCATTCCATCCAACAATAGCAGAATACACATTCTTCTCAAGTATTAGTTTGGTGCAAAAGTAATTGTGGTTATTGCCATTGAGAGTAATGGCATGGGCTGGGTGCAGTGGCTCATGCCTGTAATCCCAACACTTTGGGAGGCCAAGGTGGGTGAATCACCTGAGGGCAGGAGTTTGAGATCAGCCTGGCCAACACGGAGAAGCCCCGTCTCTACTAAAAATACAAAATTAGCCAGGCGTGGTGGCACACACCTGTAATCCCAGCTACTTGGGAGGTTGAGGCAGGAGATTGCTTGAACCCAGGAAGCAGAGGTTGCAGTGAGCCAAGATCACGCCATTGCACTCCAGCCTGGGCAACGAGAGCAAAACTCCATCCCTGCCAAAAAAAAGAAAGTAATAGCAAAACCTCAATTACTTTTGCACCAACCTGATACATACAGCACATTTACCAAGATAAGCCATATTTTGGGCCACAATACAGATCTTAATGCATTTCAAGTTAAACAAAGTGTGTTCTCTCACCCCCATGCAATTAAATTAAAAATCAGTAATAAAAGATATCTGGAAAATTTTCAAACATTTAAAAACTAAATGACACATGGGTCAAAGAGGAAATTAAAAGGGGAATTACAAAATGTGTTGAATTACAAAGTAAGTTATAATGGAAACACAGCATGTCTGAATTTGCACAGTGCTGCCACAGCGGAACTTAAGGCATAGGCATATGGCCCATACATAGGTATATGGCCCTCTGTTAAAGCCTTTCTTCACAAAGCAGCTGCATCCAGCTTCCGTCAGCATTGAAGACTAAACTCACAATCAAGAAAGCCTCATCCCTGACATGGGACACACCTAAATCCTGTGTGTGCTCATTCTTCCCTGGGACACACCTAAATCCTGTGTGTGCTCATTCTTCCCTGGGACACACCTAAATCTTATGTGTGCTCATTCTTCCCTGGGACACACCTAAATCTTATGTGTGCTCATTCTTCCCTGGGACACACCTAAATCCTGTGTGTGCTCATTCTTCCCTGGGACACACCTAAATCTTATGTGTGCTCATTCTTCCCTGGGACACACCTAAATCCTGTGTGTGCTCATTCTTCCCTGGGACACACCTAAATCCTGTGTGTGCTCATTCTTCCCTGGGACACACCTAAATCCTGTGTGTGCTCATTCTTCCCTGGGACACACCTAAATCCTGTGTGTGCTCATTCTTCCCTGGGACACACCTAAATCCTGTGTGTGCTCATTCTTCCCTGGGACACACCTAAATCCTGTGTGTGCTCATTCTTCCCTGGGACACACCTAAATCCTGTGTGTGCTCATTCTTCCCTGGGACACACCTAAATCCTGTGTGTGCTCATTCTTCCCTGGGACACACCTAAATCCTGTGTGTGCTCATTCTTCCCTGGGACACACCTAAATCCTGTGTGTGCTCATTCTTCCCTTTTGTACGTGTCAGTGATTAGTCCTTTTTAAAAACTTTTTATTTCCATGAATCTATCTGGGGGGAGAAAAAAAGAAAATTTGTTTGTTATAGGAAGATGTTTATAAGGGAAGGAGTAGAAAGAAAAATTCAAAGGACTTGGTGGGTGAGGGTTAATCAGGTGGGGATTGTGCCAATTGAAGGCGCTAAGTATTCAATCACCATCCCTGCGGAGCTTGGGAGCCTGGCAGACACCAGGTGTGATGCTGAGGGCACGGGTGAGCAAGTCAGGAGCCTGGGCTCCCATCTGGTCCTTGAGGGTAGCTTCGTATCTGCACTTAACAAGGCACGTCATCTCCCACCTTGCTCACAGCACAAAGAGGACAGATGCATTAGACCAGAGACACCTTAGACCGGTGTTTTTCAAACTACATCCATTAAAGCATTTGTCTCCTAACTGTTTAAATTGTACGTCCCTACAGTAAAAGTTTTCAGAAGCTACTCCCAGGAGATGTATATTTTTGTGTTTATAAATGACATATAGTCATTCGCTGCATGACATTTTGGTCAGGGAGGGATGGGGGTCCCATAAGATTATAATGGAGCTGAAAAGTTCCTATCGCCTAGCCACAGCCATCGTAACATTGCAGCTCAGTGCATCACTCACATGGTTGGGCTAATGATGGTGTAAACAAACCCACTGCCCTGCCAGTCACGTAACAGTATAGCACATACAATCGTGTACACTATATCATACTAGATAATGATAATAAACAACTATATTTCTGGTTTACATATTTGCTATACTATATGTTTTATCATTACTTGACGTATACTTCTGCTTATTAAAAAAAAAAGTTAACTGTAAAACAGCCTCAGGCAGGTCCTTCAGGAGGGGTTCCAGAAGAAGGCACTGTTATTAGAGCAGATGACAGCTCCCTGCATGTCATTGTCCCCAAAGACCATCTAGTGGGACAAGATGTGGAAGTGGAAGATCCTGATGTTGATGATGCTGACCCTGTGTAGGCCCAGGCTAATGTGTGTGTTTGTGGCTTAGTTTTTAACAAACAATTTTAAAAAGCAAAAAACTAAAAAAATTTCAAATAGAAAAATAGCTTATAGAATCAGGATCTAAAGAAAGAAAATACTTTTCTACAAGTGTACAATGTGTGTGCATTTTAAACTAAGCACTATTATAAATGAGTCAAACAGTTAAAAAAATTAAAGTGTATAAAGTAAAAAAGTTACAGTAAGCTAAGGCTTATGTATTTATTGATTTATTTTCTTTTGAGACGTAGTTTCACTCTTGTTGTCCAGGCTGGAATGCAATGGCGCGATCTCAGCTCACTGCAACCTCTGCCTCCCAGGTTCAAGCAATTCTCCTGCCTCAGCCTCCCGAGGCTAATTTATTATTAAAGACAATTTAAAAAAATAAATGTAGTGTAGCCTAAGTGTGCAGTGTTTATAAAGTCTGTCGTAGTGCACAGTCATGCCCTAGGCCTTCACATTCACTCACCACTCACTCACCCAGAGCAACCTCCAGTCCAGTAAGCTCCACTCACGGTAAGGGCCCTGACCTGGTATCATATTTTAAGTCTCTTAAACATTTCCTATGTTCTCATACACAAAGCCTTACTGTTGTGTTCCGATTGCCTCCAGTATCCAGTACAGCAGCCTGCTGTCCAGGTTTGTAGCCTAGGAGCAATGCGCTGTACCACAGAGCCTAGGTGTGTAGCAGACTCTACCATCCAGGTTTGTGTAGGTGCACGCTATGATGTTTGCACAATAATGAAATCACCTGATCACACATTTCTTTTTTTTTTTTTTTTTTTTTTTTTTTTTGAGACAGAGCCTCCCTCTGTCACCCAGGCTGGAGTGCAGTGGCACGATCTCAGCTCACTGCAACCTCCACCTACCGGGTTCAAGCGATTCTCCTGCCTCAGCCTCCCGAGTAGCTGGGACTACAGGCGCCTGCCACCACGCCCCGCTAATTTTTTGTATTTTTAGTAGAGATGGGGTTTCACCATGTTGGCCAGGATGGTCTCGATCTCCTGATCTTGTGATCTGCCCATTTCGGCCTCCCAAAGTGCTGGGATTACAGGCGTGAGCCACTGTGTCCAGCCCTGATCACGCATGTCTCAGAACATAACCCAGTGGTTAAGCGAGGCATGACTGTGTATGTATCTGTTCTACCACGTCAATATGTTATATACATTGTAAAAAGTCACAAAAATGTTTTCTTTAAAGATGAGATACAAATAGGTAGACTTTCTCGCTTTCTTCCCACATGCCCCTTAACACCTTTGCCTATTCCATGGAGTCCCAGGCTCAAGACAGACCCCTAAGTCTGTCCTGGCCGGGGTAAATGGTAGCTCCTGGAGCAGGGGGCTCCCAGCCACCACACATCAGCTCTCCTCTCTTCTGCTGTGTGTATTAGAGGTCCATTGACTAAATAATTTTGAAAACCATCAAACTAGGTTTTTTTTCTCTAAGTTTCTTTTTTTGCTCAAAGAACCAATATTCCTCATTATATTTCCCACTATATAAAATGTTATGCATTCCTCCTACTGGAAGTTAACTTTAACAAGGGAGAATATAAATGTGTTTTCAATCTGTGGGAATATTTTAGATATTACAACTGAAACCCACATGCAGCAAACTATACTACCAGTACAAATATTTCCTGACCAAAGAAATGTGTCACGCTTCTTTCATCTTTGTTTTGTTTGGTTCTTTATTTTGTGAGCAACATCATCATCACACTCCCCCATGAAGTGAAACTAGGCACGTGGTCATTCTCATGAAAAAAATTAAACCATTTTTTTTTCCTCAACTAAACTTAGACTAAGCGAGGGCCACTGTGAAAAAGCATTTCTTTACACATCAAAATTATCTTAAGGAAAACACACAAAGAGACAATGAATTCCCAAAGTATGATTTTTAATGATCTTCCAATAAACAGCTCTTTGTGGCAAAAGTGACTGTGAACTGGGTGGTCCAACCAGAGGGCTCCTGGAAGTCAGGGGAGCGGTGCTCCTGTTAAATCACACATTGATAAAAGGAAGGAAGGAAAACAGTGTGCTTCCAAGCGTGTGTCCCCCAGACAAGAAAACAGTGGTGAACCTGGCTGCATTTCTGGACCCCCAGAAGGAGGCGGCACTGACGGCCTGACAGGTCTCCTGACCTTTGGGGGCTTTTATGTTTGTTTGCTTTTGTTCCAAGTTCCCAGAGGAAATTCAGGAGGCACCACAACAAAACTCCTGTTTCCTGACACTGCAATCTAGCCCTTGAAGTGAGGTCCTCTCAGAGGCAGCTTGCCATCAAGTGCCATTCTGGGAAGAAAAAGAGTGGTTTTCTCCTAAAATCAGGGTCGAGTGACCTCTTCAGATATAGCAGAGCCTCACGTTGACTCATAAAAGTGTTTTCAAGACTGCTTTTCCGTCCTCTTCCCCAGGAAGTCCCGGTTGGAGGCTCCCTAACATTACTGGCTACCCACTAGGGCTGGAAAGAGTTAACGTGAGGGGTGCCATGGAGGTGGGGCATAACTCAGTGTAATTACCCTTACATATTAGATTGCAGCCTGAACATGCTTACCCCATCATTAAGAGCCTTGTAAAGATAACTAATGTTTTTTTGTTGTTCTGCCCCACATCTCCCTGCCAGCATTCCAGAATTGGCCCGGCAGAGCCCCAGGCTCCCGGGGGCTTGATGGAAGCTATGGAAGAGCAGTTCAGCTTCCTCTAAGGTAGCAAAACCTTACAGACTTCAGGGGACAGCGGATCCATGGCCCACGGCTGCTGCAGGCAAAGTCTCTTCTTTTCTGCAGGGACCCTTCTCTCTCAAGGCCGATTGAGTACATCAGAGGAGGAGACTGAAAGCCCCGCAGATGTGTGCAAAATGGGTTCCTTCTTGCTTGCCATGCCTAGAAAGAAGCAGCCAGGTACCCTGGAGGCAGCAGCCAAAAAACAGGAGCCACGGACCAGAAGAGTAGCTGGGCGTCTCCCCACGAGGGCAGAAGAGAACGGGCAGGTCCACCCTCAGCCATGGGCTGGGAGAGGGAACAGCAGGTGTCCAGTCCACTGGCATCCCCTAGCTAGAGAGAGAGAGCCAGAGAGACAGGCAGAGACAGAGAGACAGACAGAGACAGAGATAGAAAGAGACAGAGAGACAGAGAGAGAGACCCAGAGCCAGAGATAGGCAGAGACAGAGAGAGGGACACAGAGAGACAGAGACAGAGAGACAGAGACAGAGATAGAAAGAGACAGAGAGGGACAGAGACAGAGATAGAAAGAGACAGAGAGGGACAGAGACAGAGATAGAGATGCAGAGAGACAGAGAGGGATAGAGACAGAGATAGAAAGAGAGAGGAACAGAGAAAGACAGAGACATAGGAACAAAGAGACAGAGAGATGGAAAGAGAGATAGAGAGTGACAGAGACAACTAGGTAGACAGAGACAGTGAAATGGGGAGAGAGAGAAGAGAGAGACAGAGAGAGAAAAGAGAGACAGAGAAAGACAGATAGAGAGAGAGAAGAAAAAGACAAAGGGGGACAGAAACAGAAAAAGATGGAGAGGGGGAGAGACAGACAGAGCAGGGGAGGTGTGGGTTCTTTCCAGCCATCTCTGCCCCCGCACAGCCCTTTTCTTCTCTAAAATGATGATCTCTCCTCACATCCCACAGGCCCGTCAACCTCCTCTTCACGGATGGGACCACCCGTTTCTCCTGACTGGAAAGGAAAGGCGGTGCAGCTTTTGTTGGTGAAGTTGCACTCAGGATCAGAAAACAGAACGGCGGTCCTGGCGGGGGATGGTGCCTCTGACGTGGCAGGGCCCGTGTACTCTCGCCCATGGCCCTGCTGCTGGGCCCTGCAGGGGCTGCACGTTTGCCTGTGACAAGGGCCCCCGAGGCCACTCACAGAGCAGGCCTCCCCCATCCCCGCCAGGGCTCCACACTTCCTCACAGCTCCTGCGTCCTCACACAGCACGTCGGGGACTGAGACATGGTGACAAGGATTCTTCCAACACGGGGTGATTATAAATGGTCTCGTCCTCTTGTCCTTCCTCAGGAGCCCCGGCCACACTGAAAGCCTTGATGACAAAGAAGCAAGTCAGCCACCCCAGCCACTCCAGCAGTGGAGTGACCCCCTCTGGAGTCCCTCCCCTGCCATGGCCCCTCAGGGCCCTTTCAAGCCAGGGTACCTCTGTGCTGACAGGCTGGAAAGGCAGTAAAACACCTGGGCTGTCCCTGTCACTACCCGCGTTTTCATTAGCAAAGAATAACTCCAGGGGAGGCTGTCAGGGTTGGCTGAGCAGCTAGGTGAGACCAAGGGGTACAATTTCATGGTGAAGAGAAACTCCCCAAATGTACCAACAGATGAAGGTCGCCAGCAGTGCCCTGGCCATCGGGAAAGCTCCTCTGGGTGGAACCAGGACCTGCTCACCACGGTGCTCCCCACTCGGATCCGGGACAGCGGCAAGGTGCAGCTAATACTTTTTGCCTTAATGAGCCGAAGAGGCCTCCGCAGGAACATGGAACTTTATCCCAGGGGCCATCTCCGTCCTCATTCGAAGTTTTATGAAAGCACCTAAAGTGTCCAAGGTGCTGGACGCCAACCTCCATAGGGCACCACCGGCCCCAGGTGATGCAGCACAACTTCCGCGTGGCAGGACCCTCTTCTAGGGTCCGTCGGCTGGTGTACTTTAATTTAAGAGGTTCATATTCAGGAGGTAATTAATACCACAGAAAAAAAAAATAGCAGGCAAACTCTCAAAGTGACCCCAGGGGCAGGAGATGAGTGTGACCAATTCAGTATCCCATCTGTTTCTGCATTTGAGGGAGATAGTCATGGGCAGCATCTCTAAAAGTTCGAGTCCATACATGTCTCTGTCCCTGCTGATTCCAGGAGGCTCACATTTTCAGGGAATATTAGTAAGACAATGGATCAGCCTCCATCAAAGCCCAAAAAACTAGTGTATTAGTTGATTCTCGCATTGCTACAGAGAAATTCCTGAGACTGGGTAATTTGTAAAGAAAAGAGGTTTATAATTGGCTTATGGCTCTGCAGGCTGTACAGGAAGCATGGACGCTTCTGCTTCTGGGGAGCCTCAGGGAGCTTTGACCCATGGCAGAAGGCAAAGCAGGAGCAGATGTCTCACATGACAGGAATAGGACCAAGAGGGAGGTGGGGAGATGCCACACACTTTAAAACAACCGGATCTCATGAGAACTCAGGATTGCAACCACGGCACCATGAAAAACTGCACCCATGATCCAGTCACCTCCCACCGGACCTCACCTCCAGCACTGGGGATTGCATTTCAACATGAGATTTGGGTGGGGACACAGATTTAAACCATGTCAACTAGAAGAAGAGTGACAGCAGATCTAAACAGTGGAGTGACCCCTCTGCAGCTCCCAACCTTCCTCGGCGCAGGCAGGGAGATGACAGTCACCCGCATTGCAAATACCAACATTTTAAAACTCTCAATAAAAAGTTTGTTTAAACTTTTAGAATCCTACTTTTTACCATAAAATGTGTACATAGGATATGTGACTAAGTTCTCATCCCTCCATTGGTTGTTCTTTTCTTCAGTTTCTCCTGGCCTCAGTTTTGATCATAGAGGAGGCTCCTGGCCAGAGGCAAAGCCGCTGTTCCCTGGCAGTGACAGCGTGGCCCAGAAAGGTGGCTTCAGGGAGTTCAGAGCATGAGGTGAGAATTATTTTTGGTGGTACAAAAATTAGTACTTTTCCATTTACCTGTTTATGAGGTTTGTCTGTGAATGGTGAACATTCCTGAGACAGATACTTATTGAGAATCTATGACCTGCAACAGACTACCTTGTTGTATTTTGGCTTTTAGTTAAGATGCTAGTTAATTATATATGTGTCAGGGGTTGACAGACGCTTTCTGTAAAGGGCCCAGTAGGAAATATTTTAGGCCTCTGGGGCCCTGAGTTCTCCATATCAATTGCTGACCTCCTCCCATGTAGCCCAAAGGCAGCCATGAAAATTATTGAACAAAAAGAGGCAGTAGGCTAGATTTTCGCTCACCCCTGAGCTATAGAAACATCAGGTTGCTCCTTCAGCAACCTGAGCTATTGAACTACAAATCTAGAAAGAAGAGGAGGAAGACAATATACACATCTCAGCAGTCACAGTAGAAACCAACAGGTTTGTAAAGCCGAACTTCCACACTTGACACATAGACTAGCATAGTCTGAAGGCCATAGTCCCAACCAACTGACACCTTTTAAATGTTGTTATAGGCTGCGTGTTGTTGTTCTACCTGCTTTTATAAAGTTTTATTGGCACAGCCGTGCCCATTGTTTACCTATTGTATTGTGTGTGGCCACTTTCCTGCTACAGGAAAAGCTGGCAAAGCTGGGTGACTCGAACAAAGACCCCATGGCTTGCAGAGCCTTAAATATTTGCTACTTGGCCTTTTAGAGAAAATGTTTGCCTCCTCTGTCTTAGACTATCATTCTGAGGAGCAGATTTAGTAAAGCCTGTCCTAGGACATGGTTGTGGGCCCTATCTCTCCGGCAATATATTTAATAAAGGACCGACAGTCTGTGTATGTTTATAAACATAAAAGTCCCAGAAGAAAAACAAACATGGATCTCATAATTGAAAATGAAGTCAATTAAGACAGCTCAAGCAGGTACTCATCCAGAGTTCCATCTTAGACAAATAGGTACCTTAGGTACTTGGCATATTGACACGAACTCTCTCAAAGTACTTATTCCAGCTTTATCAACTAATTAGGGCAATTATTATATTTGCTTTGGTAATAGCAATTCTCTATCTCTCTCCAAGTAAATTAAATGCATATGCAAATATTCATTAAATGCCACAATATTTTTTATCTTCTAACCTTTTAAAATGTATCAGATCACTGTTTTAAGGGTGGGGCTCTTTGGAAGAAGCCAGTAAAGGTGAGATCGTTGTAAGCCCGCACCAAAAAGACATCTTGATTAGAGATGTTAGCGTTGGTCTAAAACATGAAAATATTAGTTGATGGTGAAATAAAATGCATAGGATATTATTTGGAGTTTGGTGTAATAACAGAATGTAAGGATGAATAGAAACCAAGAAGCAAATCTCGCCCTTTCTGAGGCTGAGCAAATTGATGACCAGCTTCCCTTAGCAGCCAGCAGCACACAACCTGAACTTGTCAATGTGTTTCTTCCTACTTGGGCAGTTCCCATGTCTGTCGATCACAAAAGAAGTAGACAACAGTAAATTCTCAAAAGGGAGGAATAAATAATTGCTCAAAAAATTTCAAACAACTTGAATTTGGAAAGCCATGGCACAAATGTGACCCCTTTTTCAACTGCAACCCTCCAGTCCTCACTCCCTCCAGACACCTCCACTCAGTCTCCCTCTGCCCTCCCCAAGCACTCTCTTCTCCTTCTCTTTTCTTTTCTTTCTTTCTTTCTGACTCCTCTCTTACCTGCCACATCTGTGCTTGCTGTAGACTGTGGATCCCCCTCATCTTGGCAGAGCAGGAGCTCAATAGGGCATCGTGGAGGTGTGAGTAGGATGGGGGAGGATCTCTCCTCTGCCTCCGTGGAGAACACAGTGTGTGACATCACCGCAGCTATCCAGCTTCCTCAGGGAACACGTGCTCTAAGGTACCTAAAACTTATCCCTTTACACAACACAATATGTCCTGCTTTTTCAAAAAATTTATGTATTTATTATATAAATTTAGGGGGGACAAGTAAAATTGTGTTACATGGATATGTTGTGTAGTGGTGAAGTCTGGGCTTTTAGTGTATCCATCACCAGAATAGTGAACGTTGCACCCGTTATGTAATTTCTTATCCTTCACTCCCATCCCATCTCCCTCCTTTCCGAGTCTCCAGTGTCTATTAACCCATGCTGTATATCCATGTGTACACATTATTTAGCTCCCACTTGGAAGTGAGAACATGCGGTATTTGACTTTGTTTCTGAGTTATTTCTTAAGACAATGGCTTCCAGTATCATCCATATTGCTGCAGAAGACATGATTGCATTCTTTTCCAGGTCTGAGTAGTAATCCATGGTGTGTATGAACCACATTTTCTTTATTCAATCATCCATTGACAGACACTTAGGTTGATTTCATGTCTTTGCTATTGACAATAATGCTGCCATAAATATACAAGTGCAGGTATATTTCTGATATAATGATTTCTTTCCTTTGGGTAGATACCCAGTAGTGGGACTGCTTGATGGAATGGTAGTTCTATTTTTAACATGTCCTGCTGTTTCATCTTAATGTGCTCTGACTGATGAATGTTCAGCTATATTGACTGTATCCTGTTTAATCAAAGGGATTTGTATTATCATCTAAGGTCATTTGTCTCTTCCTTTAAGGAACTTAAAATCTAATTGAAGAGGCAAAACTAAGGTAAAACATTTGAGAAAGCAGGGAGTACTTGGAAAGCACCAGGGGATAGGGTAAAATGAAAGACATGTGTAGCAGTCTACCTCCCTCCGGGATAGGGTAAAATGACAGACGCGTGCAGCAGTCTACCTCCCTCCAAGGACTGGCTTGATGTTGGCTTATTTTATCGAGCCCTCAGCCTTTCTGAAGTGCAAGTTCCGGCACAGGGGTTGATAATCCACAGTTCACAGACACTCAGCATGTCTACAAGCCCTCTGAATGTGCATGCATTTGTGTTTCTGTGAGCAGTGCTCAGAGAGGAGGGTTGACAGCTTCCATCACATTCCCTAGGGCGATGCTCACCCCTACAGGTGCACACAAACATGCAAAATACGAATCTGCTATAAAGTCTAAGTGTGTTTGAATAAGGAAGACAGGGTGGCAGTTTAGAGAAGCAAGGTTGGTGCGTCAGTCACTGGCAAAGAAGGAAAGTTGTGTGTGTGAGAATCAGAGGGAAATTGCTGGCCTGGGTAGTGGGGTTTTCCAGGGAGTGGTGCTGAGTAAGATGGCTGAAGATCAGCCTGCAGGAGCCGTGGGAGTTCAAGAGGGTCCCATGCAGCATGAGAGGACAGAGACTCAGTAAAGATTTGGAGCAGAAGAAACATCTGCTGAGGACAGGGCTCACTAGGGAGAAGAACGTTGGCTTGGTGAGAGCCTCTGGGAAACCCTGCTGTCAGATCAGTCTGGGGAACATTTTCTGCCGATAGCCAAACAAAAAAATAGGAGCGGAACTTTACAGTGTGTCAGAAAACACATAAAAATTTTTAACAAAAAAGTCAAAATGTTTGTTTGATAAATGTATTCAAAGACAGTTTTTGCTAAGGATATGTTAAAGCTGACATTCATCATCATGTCACAGGAACTTTTATTTGTAATAGAACATGATACAGTTATGTGGACATTCAAAGCAAAATTGACAAAAATATAGGCCTGTGTGTCTTGTTTCCAGAGCGTCTCTTGAACATCTTCCAAATACTTAATTCTAGTGTCAGTGTCGTTAACTGTGATGAAGAAAAAACAATTATCCTGGACAATGTCAATGGCTCACGTGGTGTCCAAGTTTAAGAACGTTTAGCACCAAAGGAAAATTATTTCAAACAGAGTTGGGTGTTTGAGTTAAAAAAAAAAAAAAGTCCCAAGTAACCCACTGAAAGATGTTTAAGCACCTGTAACCATCAACACTTATTGAAGTGATGATAATTTTAACCTCAGAAACTTCTTCTACAGCTGTAGAAACATATTCTTCTTTTGAATTAATTTAGGTAAAATTGCAAAAAATATTTAGTGATTTGAAAGATAAGCAAATTTGTCTTTGCTTTCCTTTTGTCTTTGTCCAAAGACAGGAGAGGAAGAGAAGGGAAAAGGCGGAATTAACTACATAATTCATCATCATATATTTATTTGTTGACCTGGAAGAAAGCCCATTTGAATTTCATTTTAAAGGATTATATTTAACGTTTAGAAATGTGAAACAGATTAAAAGTCCATATGCTGTTTTTATAAAAAATAAACATGAGGAAACTATACAGAATATACAAGCTTAGTATTTTTTCCTTAAGTAAAATAATTTAAACGTGTACTGTTTAAATGTGACAGTGGCTATCCTTCTTGTATGCTTATAGCACAGTGTGCAAAAATATCCTCTCTAAATTTATGATTAATATGTTTAATTAGAGACATTTCTCCTTGTTATGACTTGACAAGTATTCACTTCAATTAGTAACCATGCACTCATAAACCAAATTAATATTCTGCTTCCTCCTTTAAGTGCAAAATTAATCTGAAAAATGTAATCAAATAAGCACTATATTTAAATGTGGTGTGCTTTCCTTCTTCTTCATCTCACTCTTCCTCTTCCTCCTCCTTCTATTCCTCCTTCTTCTTAAATGAAAATTGATTTAACTCATTCAAAAGGCTTTAAATCAAATCTACCTAAGATCAGTCATAAGTAAAACTTAAACAAGTTTGTAAACCTTGGCAACAAACCACTTAACAAATTTTTGCACTGGTTCCTAGGAAAGTCTGATGGATAAGATAACCATTTGTCTCAGAAGCTTTTTGTGCTTGGAGGCAAAGTTCTGACCTAGATAAAACCTAGGAGTGTCTGGAGCTCTATGGCTCTGTGACTCTACAAGCCAAGAAGAATGTCTTCAGACTCTTGAGCCAACCACATCAAAGTATGAATTCCAGAAAACTTCATTTTGCCATTAAAAAACAAAGTGAAGCCCTGTTAATTGTGATACTATGTGCAAAGTTCAGAGACTTGAACATTTTCAAAAGACCAATTCTTCTGACTCAACAACCAAATGGGAAGAAAATATCTAGGCTGATTTCAAGCCAAGATTTGTAATGCTGCAACTCTGAGGATATTACAATTGCCTCCAAAGAAAGTAGTGGGAGCTTCCCTGCTTGAGATATTTCTGAAAGTGGATTAACCCTGGGGAAAAATTGGCATTGTCCTATGGAGAATGGGTTTGATGAATTCCTAGGTCCTTTTCATGGCCTTACCATGATTATAATAACCTGGTGGCAAGGAAAATCCAAAATGGTCCTTGGGCTCCTGCAGGCTGGGAGTCCTTTCTTGAGTAGAAACAGGAATGCTTTGTCCAGAACAAAAGCTAGTTGAATCTAGATATACCAGTACCATTTGGATGTGACTCCCCTCATTCCAGAAGTCCAGGACTGTGAAGAATGCTGATATCAGGATGCCTCACCATTGTGTTTCAATTATTGAGGAATTACATGCTCTTGACAAAAACTAACAGATCCTTTTCTGCCAAAATAATGATTCTCAAATGTTGGTATACATCAAAATTACCTATGCATCTGCAAAATAGTAACCATAATAACAGCATCTAGCTTTTGCTGAGCACTTAATCTATTGAAAAGTACTGCTTAAAGTTCATTATTTTAATTTCTCTGCCACATAATAAGACCTAAGCTGTGGTGAAAAGTTGGTAAATACTTAATAATTGGCTCTAAAAATCCCAAGTCCCTTATTCCTAGCATTTGCCAATTTCTGTGGTGTAAATACTCCTGCTATAGAATATTTGAAGCTAAGAATGGAACATTACTGAACCAGAGTAGAAAAGAGATACCCACAACTGGCTTTCTACGATGAAGAAAAAGCACTAAGAAATTCCAGACCTTCTGAGTCAGAATTCTCCAGCAGTAAAACCTGGACATGAGCATTTTGACTCCACCAATTCTGCTGGTGGTTCTGATGTTCCCCCAGGTAAATAACTCTCCTGGGGTCCACCACATTAGCTCAAGGACAAAGAGAACCAGGGCTCAACATGTGTGTTTGTGTTCTTGGCTAATTGACATATCCTGTGGAGAGGGTTTGGACCCTATGAACCAAAAATAGAAGTCTAAACGACTGAATAGGCCCCCAGCAACTGAATGGACACCCGCTTGGCCAAGGGGACCCCAAAGAAACCTGAAAAACTAGCTCAGGCCATAATGGGAGTTGGGGAATCAGACATCCCTTATTGTACATACCCTCCTCCCTTTGGAGTTTAAACAAAACTGATCAGCATTATAATTCAAACAGAGACCTTAAGACACACAGAACAGATTCTTTGTAGCAATAAGACACCAAATTCCAACCTGACTCTTGTAGAGCATCACATGACAGATAACAGGCACTGAGGAAAATAAAAGCGTTTTACCCCAAAATCTATTTCTTTGACATTTAGCTCTGCAAACTTGACTCTTGTGAGGGAAATTTGCTTGCTATAGATAATCTTCTCTTACGTCTTTTCTAGAGAGTCTGACATCTTTTAGGGTTAGATCAGAGACATTCATAATCTATTCTCTCTTAAGCCTGCTACCTGAAGGCTTCATCTACATGACAAGAATCTTGCCTTATGATATGATGTGGCTGTGTCCCCACCCAAATCTCATCTTGAATTCTACTTCCCATAAATCCCCACGTGTCATGGGAGGGACCCAGTGGGAGATAATCAAATCATGGGGGCGGTTACCCCCATGCTGCTATTCTTGTGATAGTAAGTGAGTTCTCATGAGATCTGATGGTTTTATAAGGGGCTTTTCCTCCCTTTACTTGGCACTTCTCCTTCCTGCCATCATGTGAATAAGGACACGTTTGTTTCCCCTTTCACTAAGATTGTAAGCTTCCTGAGGCCTCCCCAGCCATGTGGAACTGAGTCAGTTAAACCTCTTTCATTTATAAATTACCTAGTCTTGAGCAGTTCTTTATAAAAGTGTGAGAATGGACTAATACAGTAAATTGGTACCAGGTAGTGGGGTGCTGCTATAAAGATACCCCAAAATGTAGAAGCAACTTTGGAAATGGGTAACAGGCAGAGGTTGAAACAGTTTGAAGGGCTCAGAAGAACACAGAAAGATGCAGGAAAGTTTGTAACTTCCTAGAGACTTGTTGAATGGCTTTGACCAAAATGCTAATAGTGATATGGACAATGAAATCCAGGCTGAGGTGGTCTCAGATGGAAATGAGAAACTTCTTGGGAACTGGAGAAAAGGTTTGGCAAAGAGACTGGTGGCATTTTGCCCCTTCCCTAGGGATCCGTGGAACTTTGAACTTGAGAGAGATGATTTAGGTTATCTGGCAAAAGAAATTTCTAAGCAGCAAAGCATGGAACAGAGCATAAAAGTTTGGAAAATTTGCAGCCCGACGATGTGATAGAAAAGAAAAATCCATTTTCTGGGAAGAAATTCAAGCCAGCTGCAGAAATTTGCATAAGTAATGAGGAGCCAAATGTTAATCACCAAGACAATGGGGGAAATGTCTCCAGGGCATGTCAGAGACCTTCACAGCAGCCCCTCCCATCACAGGCCTAGAGGCCTAGGAGGGAAAAATGGTTTTGTGGGCTGGGACCAGAACCCCCCTACTCTATGCAGTCTCAGGACATGGTACCCTGCATCTCAGCTGCTTCAGCTCCAGTCGTGGCTAAAAGGGGCCAAGGTACAGCTCAAGCTGTTGCTCCAGAAGGTTTAAGCCCCAAGCCTTGGCAGCTTACATGTGGTCTTGGGCTTGTGGGTACACAGAAGTCAAGAATTGAGGTTTAGGAACCTCCACCTAGATTTCAGAGGATGTATGGAAACACCGGGATGTCCAGGCAAAAGTTTGCTGCAGTGGCAGAGCCCTTATGGAGAACCTCTTCTAGGGCAGTATGGAAGGGAAATACCCTCTTCTAGGGCAGTATGGAAGGGAAATAACCTCTTCTAGGGCAGTATGGAAGGGGTTAGAGCCCCCCCACAGAGTCCCCACTGGGGCACTGCCTAGTGTAGTGGCGAGAAGAGGGCCACCATCCTCCAGATCCCAGAATGGTAGATCCACCGACAGCTTGCACCATGCATCTGGAAAAACTGCAGACACTCAATGCCAGCCTGTGAAAGCAGCCAGGAAGGGGGCTATACCCTGCAAAGCCACAGGGGCAGAGCTTCCCAAGGCCATCAGAGCCCACCTCCTGCATCAGTGTGACCTGGATGTGAGACATGGCATCAAAGGAGATCATTTTGGAACTCTAAGGTTTAATGACTTCCCTATTGGATGTTGGACTTGCATGGGGCCTGTGGCCCCTTAGTTTTGGCCAATTTCTCCCATTTGGAATGGGAGCATTTATCCAATGCCTGTAACCCCATTATATCTAGGAAGTAACTAACTAACTAACTTGTTTTTAATTTTACTGGCTAGTAGGCAGAAAGAACTTGCTTTGTCTCAGATGAGACTTTGGACTTGGACTTTTGGGTTAATGCTAGAATGAGTTAAGACTTTTGGGGACTGTTGGGAAGTCGTGATTGTGTTTTGAAATGTGAGGACATGAGATTTGGGAGGAACCAGGGGCAGCCCCTGGTTGGAATGATATGGTTTGGCTGTGTCAGCACCTAAATCTCATCTGAAATTGTAGTTCCCATAATCCCCACCTGTCAAGGGAGGGACCTGGTGGGAAGAACTGAATCATGGTAGTATTACCTCCATGCTGCTGTTCTCATGATAGTGAGTGAGTTCTCACAAGATCTGATGGTTTTTAAAGGGGCTCTTCCCTCTTTTACCTGGCACTTCTCTTTCCTGCCGTCATATGAAGAAGGAGTATTTGCTTCCCATTCTGCCGTGATTGGAAGTTTCCTGAGACCTCCCTAGCCATGCAAAACTGTGAGTCAACCAAACCTCTTTCCTTTATAAATTAGCCAGTCTTGAGAATGTCCTTATAGCAGCATAAGAACGGACTAACATTCTTAAGCTCCAGTTTAACTCTTTTAACAAATTGTCAATCAGGAAATCTTTGAATCTGCCTATGACCTGGAAGCCCCTGCTTCAAGATGTCCTGCCTCTCTGGACTGAACCAATGTACACCTTACACATACTGATTTATGTCTTTGCCTGTAACTACTATCTCCCTAAAGTGTATAAAACCAAGCTGTAACTCAGCCACCTTGGGCACATGTTCTCAGGACCTCCTGAGGCTGTGTCACAGGCCGTGGTCCTTAACCTTGGCAAAATAAACCTCTAAATTGACTGAGACCTGTCTCAGATATTTTTTGGTTAACAACCCCAAGAGGAAATTTTAGACCCTCTCATACTAGTGCCCAAAGGAATCAAAACTTCACGTGAGCGACATAGCAAAAATAATATTTTGAAGTCTATCCATTCCTACCCCTCAGCTACCGTGGTTTGGGTGAGAAAACAGAACTAGGCACCCTTGTGGGGTCCTCCACCAATTCTCTCAATCACTTTCAAACTTCTTGGACTCAGGACTTTTCTTACAGTCTTAAAAATCCTTAAGGGCCTCACAAAGAGCTTGTGTGTGTGTGCGTGCATGCGCCTGAGTGTGCATATATACGAAATAAAATAAATTCATCACAATCGCCAAAACAAAAATTTAGCAATGCAAGTGGCATTGTTTTACATTTTTATAAATCTCTTTCTTATCTGGCTTAGTATGGGATTTTCATATCAGCTTTACATCCAGCATTTTGCGAAGTTCGCATTGTTTTGGTTCAAGTATATGGAAAAAAAAATCTCACCTCACATGTATCTAAATACACAGTTGTAAAAGGGGAAGTATTTTCAAGGCCTTTCAGGATAATTGTGGATATTCTTCTTTGATACTATTTTAAAACTTAACAAGTGGTAGTTTCTTAAAGATTAGTTGCAAGGTGGAATCTGAAAGCAACTAAGGAACTTTTCATATTCTGTTACCTTAAAATCCGTTGGTCTCTCTTGTATAATTTTGTAATATGGTTCATCTAAAAAATATGGATCCCCTGCACTATATAGATCTTCCAAATGATGAAAAATGCCATTGTACAATACTGTAAAAATGACTTTCATTAACATTATTACTGATCTCGTCAGAAAAATCTTTATGTATTGGGAAGCTATAAAGCTAACAGTGATGGATAAAAGCTTTCCAAAATTCTAGTCTTTTCTTCAAAACTCTAAGTTTATCATTGGCAATAAAGATAGTTCTCCTCCTTAAACTAACAGACTCATTTTCTTAATTTTCAAGAAAATATCTGTCACATCCTCAAGTTCAAGTAATCAAGGCTTTTTTGTATGTTGTTCTTTTTTTAAACTTTCATTTTAGGTTCAGGAGTACATGTGCAGGTTTGTTATATAGGTAAATTTCATGTAGCAGGGGTTTGGTACAGATTATTTTGTCACCAAAATAATAATATAAGCATAAGGTAATAGGCATAGTACCCACAGTTTTCAGATCCTCACCCTCCTCCCAGCCTCTACCCTTAAGTACTCCCCAGAGTCTGTTGTTCCCTTCTTTGCATCCATATGTACTCAATGTTTAGCTCCCACTTGTAAGTGAAAACGTATTTGGTTTTCTGTTACTGTGTTAGTTTGCTTGGGATAATGACCTCCAGCTCCATCCATGTTGCTGCAAAGAACATAATCTTGTTCTTTTTAGTGGCTGCATAGTATTCCATGGTGTATATGTACCACATTTTCTTTATCCAGTCTACCCATTATTTAAAAAGTCAAAAAATAACAGATGCTGTTGAGGTTGTGGAGAAAAGGGAATGCTTCTACACTGCTAGTAGGAATGTAAATTGGTCCAGCCATTGTGGAAAGCAGTTTGCTGATTTCTCAAAGAACTCAAAGCAGAATTACCATTTGACCCACCAATCCCATTATTGGGTATATACTCAAAGGAATATAAATAATTCTACTGTAAAGACAGTACTATAAAGACACATGCACGCATACATCTTTGTTCTCGCATGTAAAAATGTCATGCCATTCAAACAGCAAGAGTCTTGCTCTCAACTGGGTCCCATGAGAACTTTTCCTGGGGGTGCCCATTGCACCCAGGTGGGCAACAGACATGCTTGGCACTGCCTCTGCTTCCCTCACACAAATTGGAAGAGCACCTGTCCTCCAGGGCTGAGAGGAAATGCCATCGATTATTTTTGCTCCTTCATCAGGGACATTCTTTAGTGAAACTCATTTCTATTTGCTCATTGGTTTCCCAAGGGGCATGTGTGAGGAGATACAGAGACCACGCAGGCTGTCGCTGCTGCCAGTTTGGTTCCTGCCAAGATGCCCACAGTTTTGCACACACTGCGTTGGCACCATCAGTGTGATGGCAAAAAGGACAGAGTGTTGCTGGAGTCTGCAGACCACATTTTGAGAACCACAGCCACACAGGCAAAGCCCAGAGTGGTTTTGGTGAGAAAACAGAAACAGGAATGAATACTCAGCCCCGCGGTAGAACCTGTGCTGCAAGGGAGGTCGGGAGGCCTCAGTGATGGCTGGCAATTAAACCTGGATATACCACTTAACTCATGTAGGACGCAAGAAAACTGGAACAAATTAATCTTGCAGGTCATGAACACTTGCCTTCAAACTACCATGGTGAAAATCCAGTGATTTGAGAATTTTTTTTTTTTACATTTAATTTTTCTTTTTTTTCTTTTTTTTTTCTTATTATGCTTTAAGTTTTAGGGTACATGTGCGCAACGTGAAGGTTAGTTACATATGTATACATGTGCCATGTTGGTGTGCTGCACCCATTAACTTGTCATTTAACATTAGGTATATCTCCAATGCTATCCCTCCCCCCTCCCCTCACCCCACAATAGGCCCCGGTGTGTGATGTTCCCCTTCCTGTGTCCATGTGTGATTTGAGAATCTTAAAGCTCAAGTACACTAACCAGCAGGCCATATATTTCTGCTCTGCTTGGGTATTTTAGACTTCAAGACCCTCTTAAAAGCTGAGAAAGTTTAGACTAAGGACTGTAGTCTACCTCTTACTGCACATTTTGCAACACAGATGCTGTTTACAGCACAGACCGGCCCCTAACTCAGTCAATAAGGGACCAATCTAATGCTTCATAGCCTCTTTTCTCCCATCTATCAAGTGAGAAACTAACAATACCTATGTCCTAGGAATACTATAATGATTAAATGGGATAATGCATGACAAATGCTTAGCACGATACCTGCCACTTAGGGAGTGCCCTCTCATTGTTAGCTACTACTGGGCATTTATTAAAGCAACTTTTACCAACTTCCTACATTTTTTTCTAACGTTATGCAGAAGAGGATTTCACATTTTCCACTTCCCCACACTAACAAACAGAAGGAAAATGCCACCTGGAAAAATATGTGCTGATGCCAAGAAATAGAGCTGCATAATAGTGTTTAATGATGCCCAGTATAAAATACCAGACTGTGGGTTATGTAAACTCTGCTAACTTATTAGCAGGAGTGGCAGATAAAAGATCAAGGATGATTGATTCTTGTCTGGGACAAGGAAAAAGCCAAGATTTTCAAGTCCAACCATGTCAAACTATGACGATTATATGGGTGAACCTAATTTCCAAAGTAGTAGGCAGTGAGCAGGAAGGAGAAGAAGGGCTGGCATGAGCGGAGAGGCAAGTGCTCCCAGCCTTCTCACCGTGGGAACATGCGATTCATCCCTGATGAACCTTTTCCCACACAGATAATCACCCTCTTCTCTAAACATGTTCTAATCCATGTATATTTGGGTGGAGCCTTGACAGACACACAGATCTCCAGAAATGGTGTTCACAACAAATGAATAGAAGCATGTTTGTGTCTACAACAGGAGGAAGAACAGAGGGTGGGAATTTATTAATTTATAATAAAATATGTGGGAGAGAATCCATCAGTTAGGAAAGCTCTTGGCTCCAAGTGACAAAAAACTCAACTACACACTTTGGGAGGCCGAGGCGGGCGGATCACGAGGTCAGGAGATCGAGACCATCCCGGCTAAAACGGTGAAACCCCGTCTCTACTAAAAATACAAAAAATTAGCCGGGCGTAGTGGCGGGCGCCTGTAGTCCCAGCTACTTGGGAGGCTGAGGCAGGAGAATGGCGTGAACCCGGGAGGCGGAGCTTGCAGTGAGCCGAGATCCCGCCACTGCACTCCAGCCTGGGCGACAGAGCGAGACTCTGTCTCAAAAAAAAAAAAGAAAAAAAAAAAAAAAAAAAAAAAAAACTCAACTACAGTGGCTTAAAAAGAAGGCTTATTTTTCAACAATGTAAGTAAGAAGTTTTGATCTAAGCAATTGCTAGTGTTGGTTCAGCAGCTTAATAATGCCAGGTTGCTGCAGCTCTGATCAATACATTCACATTCAAGGCAGAAAGAAGAAGAAAAGACCACACCAGCCATATCTGTCCCTCTACTGGGAGAGAGGCAGCATTCTGAGATCCAGTAGATTTATGCTTATGTGTAATTGGCTTGAACCATGACGTATCTGTCGCTGTGACAAATGTGTCATCCCTACTTATAAGGGAAGCTAGAAAAGTAAGTATCTGGGCTTATCTTCTTCCAGAATGACTGGAGTTGTGTTAGCAACAGCGTGGGAATGAGTACAATGCAGACAACAACCAGCCCCTGCCACAGACTCCAGGAAAACTTCCATTTTCGTTTTCATCATTGAACACACATTCCTCATGCACAGCCACCAAACTTATGGTGACCTGAGCAGTATATAGTCACAAGGTCGCTTTGAGCATTTACTACCATTAAGTCCCTCTCATTCTCCAGACAACGGGATTATCATTTTCTTCCCCTTGAGGGCTCCTGTTATCACAGGTCCTTGCTTATCAGCAAGGAAGAGACAAGAACAAAGAAAAAGTGAAACTGGCATCTCTCACTTTGCCTACTCGCTAGAAATGCTGAGACTTTTGGGGTGGAAGAAATGGAAACAAATGAATAGTTTAAAATGAGGCTGGAGCTGCATTCATTCAACTGCATTTATTTTCCCTGTTTGACTGAGACAGAATGACTTGAAGAAAACTGAGTCTCTGGAATTCACCATAAGATGAAGAAAAACCTGTTGTGAAATCACACTGAGGCTTGTTACACTATTTACTTTGCTTAGCCACCCTCCTATTTTGAGAACTCTAACTGTGTTCAGGTAAGCTCGATACATTTTGCTTAGTAAGACCAAAGTTTTGTAAATTAAATTTTTGGCAAAACAGGTGGAAGAATATTGCACTTTTTAGAGTTCACTCTTACTAAATTTTTCAACAGTGCCTGGGGCAAAAAAGACAAATACTCTCAGCTTTCTCAGAAACCTTATTAAGGTTTGACATGCAGATATGCACATCGTGAGCTCTTAAGCACTTAATAAAACCTAAGCTAATTTTCCAAAACAAAGGATGAAGAGCAATGTGTTCAGAGAGCATTAGAGTACATGGTGCAATCTCTTGGGATTAGGAAAGGGTCAAAACTTAGTTCCTTTTGCTTGGGGACTGGTTCATGAAGAAGGAAGGAGAAGCTCAAGAAAACATAAGGAAAAACCTTACAAGGGAATAATCTGACCCACAGGGATAGGGAGGAACGATGAATGTTGTCTGAAGAAAGAAGCAGAAGGGATAGATGAAAAGGCGAGGGGGATGATATCCCTCCTAAACTCACCAAGCTAAACAAAAGGAAAAGCAAATGAGAGGATGGACGAAACGGGAAATGCTGATAGAAGCATAAAATATCAGAGCATTTTCTCTGGCCATGGCCAGAGAAACTTATATGTGGAATCTAAAAATGTTGAACTCATGGAAGCAGACAGTAGGATGTTTTCCAGGGGCTGGGGGATTGGGTCTAGGGGATGTTGTCAAAGGGTACACACTTGCAGTTACATACGGTGAATAAATTCTGGGGATCTATTATACAGCAAGGCAACTATAGTTAATAATACTGTATCATATACTCGAAAATTGCTGAGAGTAGATCTTTAATGACAAATTTATTTGTTTTTAAGAGACAAATAATAAATGTGTATATTTATGGGGGTATAACAATGTGATGTTTGATCTACATATACATTGTAGAAAGATTAAAACAAGATAATTAACCCATCACCTCACCGGCTTACCACTTTTTTATGAAATGTTAAGAAGAGAGTAGATCCTAAAAGTTCCCACCAGCAAAAAAATTGGTAAATATGTGAGGTGATGGATATATTAATTGGCTTGACTTAATCCTTTCACAATATATGCATATCTCAAAACATCACATTGTACACTGTAAATATATATAATTTGTATTAGTCAATTATGCCTTAATAAAGATAAATAAACCTGCAGCTTATATTACCAATTAATTACATTTTAATAGATGTTCTCACAATCTAAAAAACAAAGCAAAACCAAACAAAAAAAGGATATCAGGGTTGGAAGAAGCTAGAAATTATCTAGTAAGAACTTATTTTCCAACTGACGAAACTGAGATCAGAAAACTTTTGAGATTGTCCCGAGATCTTATAGTCAACGTAGTGCCCAAGCCAAGAGTAAAACCCAAGCTCTGAGAAGTTCTCTGTCCCTTTAAGACTGTGAATGGGTGAACTCCTCCAAGGAGAGCCCAAGGCAGAGGGATGGCTCGGGCTTCCTGCTGTGTGCGGGAGCAGTGAAATCACAGAGGTTGGGCACAGAGAGCAAGCCCCCTTGCCATGACGCTTTCATCTGGACAGCTTTGCTTTATGAAGACATGATCTCCCACAAGTCTGGCTTACCATCCTGAATTCCCAGTGCATTCTTCAAGCTCGAATCACAAATTTAGATTGCCTACTAGTATGGCACCCAGAACAAGAGTCCATTGTCAGAACTCACTGGACAGTCATATGATCCCAGTTAATGCCAACAAGGCCCTTAGTGTGGAGGGAAGGCAGATGGGCCTCAGTCAGAAGGCCCCACATTCTGGCCCCAGGAAAAAAAGGAGAAACCAGGAGCCACATCCCATATTCTGAAGCAGCTGGAGTGAGTAACGGGACCCACCCCACATAACAGGGAGCTTCGGACCCTAACAGAAGGGAGCTGAGCTCACCTCCTGTGAATGTCCCTCTCCTGTGGCCGGGTGGATGTGACTGACAGCTGTCACTCCCTTCCATGGGGCCAGCTCACAGCAAACGAGAACATTCCCTTCCTGATGAGCCCTACATAATTTTACATACTCTTCTGTTCTTTTTCTGTTCTTTTCCTTAACACGCAGCTGCCATGTCTTGAATGATTTACCTTTCAAGATTTACTTCAGTGACTACAGGGTCAATTTCCCTTTCAAGTTATATGCAGCTTTCAATTGTAAGCATTTAAAGAGGTGGGAGCTGAGGTTTTCAACTCAAGCATTAATGGAGTCAACTAATCCACATACGTATTATGTGATTTGTTAAATGCTTAAAGCCAACAGATTAATTTGTTTTCTCCCCTGAAATGCTGTGGATACTGTGTGCAAATATTATGCATGCAGAGGCTATCATTACACTGTTTAAATGTTTGCAATCTCTATTACTTAATTACTCTAAGTGATATTTATAGAGTATCTACTAATAGGTAAGGCATCTCGGGTAAAGCTGAAAAAAAAATACAGGAAAAAGATTGTATTGTCAGCATATCATTTTCTAAAGCCTCCCAGCCTTCTTGAGCCAGGTCTCTACTTACTATTTTTGGCCATCAGGTTGCAAATCTCCTTCCCCTGAACCAAGTGCTACCTGGCAATCCTTCATTACTAGAGCTCGGAAAAGCCTAATGAATCAAAACAGCCGACGGGACGGAGGTAGCTAAGAGGCCAAGTCAGCCCTTCCAAAATTAAGCCTGTGGTTTCAGACACCTGGAGGTTTCTCAAGTTGTCTGAGACCACTGAGTCAGGAGGCCCACCCCTCTGGACTGTGTCATGTCTGGAAATGGAACCACCAGTGCGGTAGAGCTGGGGTCCATTCTGTAAACTTGCAGACAAATAGCCAGACAACAGCACCTGCCTGCCCCATCACTGTTCATTCTCGCCATCTGCTGCTGCATAACAACCCAGGGGGCAGCTTGTGTGTCTCTCGTGGCTTTGTGCATGGACTGGGCTCACCCAGGCATTTCTCTGTTGGGATCTCTCATGTGGAGGCAGACACAGGTCAGCTCGGGCTTCAGCCATCTCAAGTCTCCATAGAGCTGGGCTGGCTCATTCACATGCTTGGCTGGGAGCTCAGCTGGGGCTGCTGACCAGATACCCTGCACCAGTAGGCCTCTGGGTTCTGAGACAGAGCTCCCAAGAGCAAGCATTCCAGTGAATCTAGGCAGTGCTATGCCACGGCCTTGAAGTCCCAGAATGTATTAATGCCACTACTTTCCATCAGCCAAGCACATTGCTAAGGCCAGGCTGGAAGCAAGGGGAGGGGAATCAGACTATTCCTCTTGATGTAAGGAGTGGGGTGCATGAGCAGGGAGAGGAGGCTTTGGTGGAGGCCAACTGTGCAGACTTCCCCACGGCCTATCTCCGTGGTCGGCTGACATCTCTGAGAGCAGAGCAAGCTGGTATAGAATCCAATATCTTAGATCTAGCAGCCTTGAAGGCAATGTGCGCCAGCCATGCCCTCAAATATTTAAGGGGGTATGATCTCCATTCCACACTTGCCATAAAATGAACCAATTCTCGGTCTCTGTAATCCCGAAAGCTGCCCCAGCTCTCCCCTCCCCTGCCCTCGAAAAGGAGAGCCCAGACAGTTACTGTTTCCCGTGATACTCTGTCTGGACTGAATTCATCTTGGGAAATGGTAACTCTGCTTTGAAAGTTAATAAAGGTGCTCTCTGACAAGAAAAGTGTATCCAGAGAGGAACACTGGTCTCAACAACTGTGTGACTGCAATCCAGCCTTGGGCAAACAAAACCAGCCCCTGCGTGTGCCTGACTGGCAGATTGATGGAATGAGAGTTTCTCTCGTGGGGCCTCACTGGGAATGGACCCAACTCGAGGGCAAAGGCACACATGGCAAGGGCTAACACCCAGGGCTCTGCGGAAGCCTGTGCCATCCTTGTGTGCAGGGGAAGAGCGGAAAGAGGTCATGAGAGCAACTCCAGGCAGGCTGGACCCACCCAGCAGCTGGGGAGAGTGGAGCAGAGACAGCAGAGAATCCCAAGACCGAGCCATTGTTTCCCTTGGTTTTCTCTCAGTCCAGGAAAGCACACCTGCATCTTGGGTCTCCTGAAACACTACAGGGGAATCTGACTTTAGGATCTATCCCCAAGGGCCCCAGCGAAGAGGCCCAGAAGTTAGTTCCTTTTTGTGCACCTGAAGCACAAAAGTTGTCACACTATTCATTCAGTCTCTGAAATTATATTTTCTTTCCCTCAACAGCATAAGAACAGCATTAGGATAATAAGTTACCGATCCCCTTGACTCCCCAAAATCTCACATCTCAATAACAACCTATTTTTTAGCACCTACATATGTCCACTTTGTTAGCTTTTTACTCATACTTTTTCTAGTATTCACCAAAGCTCTGCCAAATACTCATCATTTGCCCCCATTTTAAAGGGGAGTTTAGGGACTTGCTCAAGGCAAGTCTTTCTATGTCTTTTCTAGGACAGCGCGATAGAAAGGCGGCCGGCGAAAGGGCTCCCAGGTTTCCACTCGGCTGGCTTTGTATGAGCAGCAGGACCCTTTTCTGGAACATCCTCCAGCATGGAAGTCTGAGGTGTACCAGCTGCTGTGGGTGAGGCTGAGGGTCCAGGGCCCAAGGGATGACCCGGTAGAGCGACTTAACATTACAGAGAGAACGTCTGCAGAGGCTTCAGCCATCGGAGAGCTTCTGCACACTTTCATCCCTTCCCGCCGCGGGGGCTCTCCCACCAAGCCCTGCAGAAGGAGGGCCTCTTAGTTTCCCCACTTTGAATATTCATGACCCTCTAGTTGTTGCCCAGACCTGGAACACTTTTGAAAGGGAAAGGGGGAGGATGCTTTTGATCATTTTTAATTATTATGAATTACAATCATGATACCTTTTAAGATCATTATACCAGAGCTCAAGAGATCTATTGTACATCATGGTGACTCTAGTGTATAGTAACACATAGTATATTCTTGAAAATTGTGAGAGAATAGATTTCAAGTGTTCTCATCACAAACAAGTGATAGGTAAAGTAATGCATACGTTAATTAAGTTGGTTTAGCCATTCTACAATGTACACATATATCAAAATGTCATGTTGTACACCATAATAATATACGGTTTTTATTTTTTAATGAATTAAATAAATAAGGCAATTATGCCAGGACAACAGGCATGATTTAGAACTCTCCTGAGCAAACCAGAATGAAAATCTTACACTGACCAAGGAACAGAAGAGTTTTACCCATTGCAGAAATATTTATGTTTTCAGGGACAATCTGGAAGAGACATCGTCAAGGTGCACCCTCAGTGTCTGTGGAGGCTGAATAATGCCCTCCCCACCCAAGGATGCCCATGTTCTAATCTTCAGAACCCATGCATGTCACCTTCTATGACAAAAGGAACTTCACACATGGGATGGAGTGAAGGGTCTGGAGATGGGGAGATGATCCCGGATGATCCAGGGAACCCCAGAGGTTACCACAAGGTCCTTACGAGAAGAAGGCAGGAGGGAGAAAATCAGAGAAGGAGCGGCAAGGACAAAGCGGGGTCAGGGTGAGGTGAGGAAGGGGCTGAGAGCCAAGGGGTGCAGGCATCTCTAGAAGCTGGACACGACAAGGGAACGGGTTCTCTTTGGGAGCCTCTAGAGGGAACCAGCCCTGCCCACACCTTGATTTCAGACTTTTGTCCTCCAGAACCGTAAGAGAGCAAATTCGTCTTGTTTTAACCCACTAAATGTGTGGTAACTTGATACGATAGCAATATTGAATACAATACTGAAACTAATACAGTACTGTATCCAAATAAAAAATGTTGGGGGTTTTGTTTTTTGTTTTTAGAGACAAGGTCTCGCTCTGTGGATCTGGCGTGCTCACAGCTGCCTGAAGCCTGGACCTCCCGGGCTCAAGCAATCCTCCCACCTCGGCCTCCCAAAGCGCTGGGATCACAGGCATATGCACCACCATGCCCAGCCCAGAATAACAAATGTTTTAAATCCACACTTTTCCGAATGAATTTGGGCAAGAGTCTAGGGCTTGGATTCTGCCCTGGAGTTAAACTTTCACTCCTTCAACAAAATATCCTTTTGTATTTAGGTCTTAGACGCAAAGCTTTAACTATAACTCCACCTTATAAATGTATCTGCATCCATGGATTCCCTATGAGCAAGAAAGCCTCATGCACACGAGATCAGCTTTCTAACGATAACTGAGTAATTAATGAATTACAAGCAAAACAATGACAGCAAACATTTATTAAACCCTACATGCTAAGGGCTGTTCTGTAGGCTTCACGTGAAGAAACATGTAATAACACCGTGGGGAGGGCAGAATTTTTATTCTCAGTTTACAGATGAGGAAACTGACGCAAACAGAGGCTAGATGTCTTCCTGTAACAAACCCACTTACTGACAGTCTCCTCCAAGACACACCCCCACACACACCATTTGAACACAGAGATCCTAGCGAATGTGTCGTGACTGCCGCTGCCAGACACTGCTGAGAGTGCTCCAGATCAACTCACCCATTTAATCCTCAGGACAACCCATGAGGCGGTACTGTGATCGCCCCACTTTACAGATGAGAGGACAGACACACAGAGCCACGGAAACCAGCCCCGGGTCACACAGCTGGGAAGGGGCCGTGACTTTCCTACTCAGGCCCGCGGCACACAGAGCCCCAGAGAAAGGCTCAGGAGAAGGGAGACGCGTGGGACTAATGGTCTTGGAAGCACAGCCGGGGTGACGGAAGGTAAGGTTCATTCCGAGACAGTTGCTGATGGGGTGTGTAGCTCACCCCAACCTGTCTGTACCCAGCAGGCTTCAGCCCCTGGCCTGGGAGGGGCCTGGGGGGAGATGGCTGACTATGGGTGGGCTACAGGAAGAACAACACCTTGGGTCTGGCAGTGGCAGTGGCACAGAGAGCTGCCATTCGCCTCTGAGGACCATGGAGGCCAGAAAAATAGCTGTGGGGCCTATGAAAAAAGCCACCAGGGTGGCAGCGGGAACAGCAAATGCAGACTGGCTGGATGGGGCCAGAGAGAGGAGCCCCGCACGAGCCTGGAGGCCCCCAAGCTCTGACAGTCCCTGCGGCTCCAGGGTGCTCCATGGGCAGGGCTCCAGGGTCAGAGCCTCATGCCATCTCGGTCCCTATGGGCTGCTCAGCTGAAAATACAGGGCAGCTAGAGAGCTACTGGTCAAGCAGCCTAAAGCCCTCTCTCCATAGGTTCAGGATGGCCCCTCAGGAGACCTGAGCTCTCGCCCAAGAATGCTGGGGCAGCTGGATACCTCTTCCAGGCCTCAGATACCTCATTTGTTAAATGGGGGAGTCAGACAAAACCATCTCTGAACTCCTTCTAACTATAACATGTGTGGTCTGAAATTTTTAAAAAGGGAAAGGCAACGAAAGCAGAGAAGAGGTGAAGACAGGAGGGGAAAAAAGAACAGAGAAAACTCTCTGTGTGCTGGGGGACTGCGTTCCTTCCAGCTCTGATGTACTTATCTCTGTCCATAAAGAGAAATCCCTCCCCATCATACTGTTGGCTTTTGGCCCTTCGTCTGCATTACCAAACCTCGTTCTTACTGCATCTGTGCTTCTATTATGAGTGGCGTCCTTCCATCTTGAAGTAGGCAGGGTATAAACAAATGAAACCAGGGATCCCAATTACCTCACTTGTCTGTGTTCAACGGCCGAGGCACAGAGAGCCGAAAATGCAAGAACACGGTAGCTAGGAGGGACCGATTCTCATGCAGGGACAACAGTGCCAGCCCCAGGCAGTGTCACAGGTGCTGGGTTGGGGTCTGGGCTGAGAATCTGGGTCTCATCAGTGACATCAACATGGATCATGCCACCAGCAGTGACAGCATCTTCATGCAGCCAGAAGCCGCTGACTCTACGAAGAATGGAAGACGGCCTTGAGTGCTTTCCAGGTACTGGCACATTGCCAAGGCCTCTCACGTCCCCCTTCCTGCCTGAAAATCCACTGTTCATGTGCTACTTCTGCCGGAGGTTTAGATAAGAGGAGGGAGTACACAGTTTTCTGAAGGTAAGGGGCACCATCCTGGGACCTTCCACATACTCCTCAGTGAGCAATAGTGCACCCTAGGTTTGAACTGAGGAGACAGGGAGACTTGAGGCAGATCAGGGCTTCTGGACCGTGGTTCAATTTGCTGCCCAGGTCCATCCGGGGGCAGCATCCCTGGCACCATTTGCTTTTACCTAATAATCCAACACACGCACTAAAGAAAGGAGGGAAGTCACCCCTGCTTCCATCTCTCATCTACTGCATTCATGGCCCATCCCAACTTTACAACTTTATTTTTATTTTTATTTTTTTTGAGATGGAGTTTCGCCCTTATTGCCCAGGCTGGAGTGCAATGGTGCGATCTCAGCTCACCGCAACCTCTGCCTCCTAGGTTCAAGTGATTCTCCGGCCTCAGCCTCCCGAGTAACTGGGATTACAGGCATGTGCCACCACGCCTGGCTAATTTTGTATTTTTAGTAGAGACAGGGTTTCTCCATGTTAGTCAGGCTGGTCTCGAACTTCCGACCTCAGGTGATCTGCCCACCTCGGCCTCCCAAAGTGCTGGGATTACAGGTGTGAGCCACTGCACCCGGCCTACAACTTTCTAAGGGAAGGTATCCCACCATTGGGTGAAGTCTGGTCCCAATAATCAGAAAACAGAAATCACTCAAAAGCAAAGAGGTCCTACCTGCCATGTAGGTGATCACACTTTGACATTTCTTTCTGCCTCTACCCATACAGGTTTGAACTTCACTAAGGAAAAAGAATAGCCTGTACAAATGTCAAAGCCCGAAGTGAAAACTGAAGTCCTCAGCATAAGCAGGAACCATTCCCAGATGGGAGGGAAAGTGCCTAGGAAGTTGCTGAGTCCACACTCAAGTTGTTGTTTGATAAGTTTTACAAAATGACAAAGATTGGGCCATAGACAGACATATTTGATGTACATTCTGGTATCTGCAGATTTGATCAGGTACAAAATTTTTAAGCCATATTGATTATGAGACATGTTTTGGTATTTGCATATATATATATATTTTGAGACAGAGTCTTGCTCTGTTGCCAGGCTGGAATACAGGAGCTCAATCTTGGCTCACTGCAACCTCTGCCTCCTGGGTTCAAGTAATTCTCCTGCATCAGCCTCCCAAGTAGCTGGGACTACAGGTGCGTGCCACCACACCCAGCTAATTTTTTGTATTTTAGTAGAGACGGGGTTTCACCATGTTGGCCAGGATGGTCTCGATCTCCTGACCTCGTGATCCACCCGCCTCAGCCTCCCAAAGTGCTGGGATTACAGGCATGAGCCACTGCTCCCAGCCTGGTATTTGCATATTTGATCAGGTATATAATTTTTAAGCCATTTTGATTATGAGAGTACAGGAAAAACATAAACTATACTCTGGAAATGTATATGTGTATATTCCATACATACACCCCATATGCATCCCACATGTAGATTCCATGTATACTCCATGTACATATGACAAAAGAGCTGATGTATCAAAACTTCTTTTGAGATGGCTAGATTTATTTTTCTATATTTTAAGTTTACAAAATGCCTTTGTTTGTTGGATTTTTCATAAACTGGCTCCTTGCCTGAGCCGTGTGTGGAAGAGTTCTTTTAATTTCATAGCTTCTAAATGTTAGCTTCTAAATAAATGTTGGCTACATGAAAGAGGGGTCCTTTATAAATCCACGAACAAAAATCAAAGTGTAGGAAACAAAACACACCTTTGAATTTTATTTCATCTTTCTCTTGCAAGTTTCAATCCAGGAAAGGAACCCTGTGCAGTCTGATTTTTTCTTTTTATACTTTAAATTCTGGGATACATGTGCAGAACATGCAGGTTTTATACATAGGTATACATGTGCCATGGTGGTTTGCTGCACCCATCAACCCATAATTTACATTAGGTATATCTCCTAATGCTACCCCTCCCCTAGCCTCCCACCCCACAAAAGCTCCAATGTGTGATGGTCCCCTCCCTGTGTCCACATGTTCTCATTGTTCAACTCCCACTTATGAGTGAGAACATGCAGTGTTTGGTTTTCTGTTCCTGTGTTAGTTTGCTGAGAATGATGGTTTCCAGCTTCAACCATGTCCCTGCAAAGGAAATGAACTCATTCTTTTTTATGGCTGCATAGTATTCCATGGTGTATATGTACCACATTTTCTTTATACAGTTTATCATTGATGGGCATTTGGATTGGTTCCAAGTCTTTGCTATTGTGAACAGTGCTGCAATAAACATACATGCACATGTATCTTTACAGTAGAATGATTTATAGTCCTTTGGGTATATACCCAGTAATGGGATTGCTGAGTCAAATGGTATTTCTGGTTCTAGATCCTTGAGGAATTGCCATACTGTCTTCCACAATGGTTGAACTAATTTACACTCCCACCAACAGGGTAAAAGTGTTCCTATTTCTCCACATCCTCTCCAGCACTAGTTGTTTCCTGACTTTTTAATAATTGCCACTCTAACTGGCATGAGATTGTATCTCATTGTGGTTTTGATTTGCATTTCTCTAATGAGCCGTGATGATGAGCTTTTTTTCATATGTTTGTTGGCTGCATAACAGCCAACTTTTGAGAAGTGTCTGTTCATGTCATTTGCCCACTTTTTGATGGGGTTGTTTTTTTTTTCTTGTAAGTTTGTTTTAGTTCCTTGTAGATTCTGGATATTAGCACTTTGTCAGATGGATAGATTGCAAAAAAATTCTCCCATTCTGTGATTGCCTGTTCACTCTGATGATAGTTTCTTTTGCTGTGCAGAAGCTCTTTAGTTTAATTAGACAAAAACAAGCAATAGGGAAAGGATTACCTATTTAATAAATGGTGTTGGGAAAACTGGCTAGCCATATGCAGAAAACTGAAACTGGACTCCTTCTTTACATCTTATACAAAAATTAACTCAAGATGGATTAAAGGCTTAATATATAACCTAAAACCATAAAAACCCTAGAAGAAAACCTAGGCAATACCATTCAGGACATAGGCATGGGCAAAGACTTCATGAATAAAACACCAAAGCAATGGCAACAAAAGCCGAAATTGACAAATGGGATCTAATTAAACTGAAGAGCAGTTTGATTTTTAGTAAGGCTTTCCGTGAAAATAGCGGAGAGATGAGAAACTGCTCTATCTGACGTGAACTGCATTATTGCATTAGGTCAAGAGGACTTGCTTTAACATCATGAGAGGCTCCTGGGAAGTCAGAAACTATTAAAAACAGTGTGGCAAGGTCTGTAATACATGTATTTTTTGAGAAGTCTACCCACATCTTTCATCAGATTTTCAAAAGGGTTCATGTCCTTAGAAAGTTTCAGAATGGTCCTGTTACATCAACCAACTCAAGACCTTCATTTGAACCGTTTTGTTGACATTAACATCTCAACAAAAAAGTTAAAATGGCCTTAATTTACACTATTATATATGATTTGGCAACTCATCTTAATTACAGAATTGTTTTAAGATATTCAACTTTACTACATTCAAGAAATTCCTATAGAACTAGATTTAATACAGTCACACACAGCATAACAATGTTTTGGTAAACCACAGACCACATTTAGGATGGTGGCCCTATAAGATTAAAATACCTTTTCTATGTTGAGATACACAAATGCCACTGTGTTACAATTGCCTACAGTATTCAGTACAGTAACATGCTGTACAGCTTTGTAGCCTGGGAACAATAGGCTCTACCATTGAGTCTAGGCATGTAATAGACTCTACTTCCTAGGTTTGTGTAAGTTCACTCAATGATGTTCCCACAATGATGAAATCACCTAACGACACATATCTCAGGTGTATCCCTATCATTAAGTGATGCATGACCATATTTATGTCTAATATTAATATCTCTTTAGGAAAATATCTCTTTAATTTTATTTAATTCTTTTGAAAGTAAATGGATACTTGTCAAGTTTAAAAAGACTTTAAACAATGGATTCTGTTTAAAAGTTATAAACTTTTAAAATTCCAGTAATTTTATTTAGCTATTAATTTACTTACCAAATCCTTTCTTTTGCTGATAGCTCAGGTTGAATCAGTTCAACTTCTATCTAAATTACCTCATAGGCCAACTACAAGACTCAAAATCAATTGACTTATATTACATAAACGCAGATAGTTAACAAGACACTCACGTACCAAACCAGAAAATGGCTTATGTTGAGACTAGTTAACATCAGCATTGGATAATCTCATCATCCACAAAATGATAAGGGAAAAAGATGCATTATAAAGATTAGACAGAAAACATTGTTAGCGGAGCGCAGGAACTGGATTAGAGGTAGACTTACTGCCGCCCGAACACATCCAGGTTCTTAGCAAATGAATATGGCTGACACTAATATCAACCTGCTAGTTTTGATCTGAGCCATGACCCATATTTCAAGACATATATATTGGAATATTTCTCAACGCAAGCAAACCTCTTCCTTAATTCTTACTTCTCATCCTCACCCCTTTGAGTTAAGTGCCTCACAAAGTGGTACTAACAGTGCACTTGTAATGCTGTTTTGTGATCATCTGCTATTTGTTTCTAATCCTGGACTGCATGCCCCTTTTTTGCAGGATTCACATCTTTTTATCTGCAGTCTCTGGCACATGTTAGCTTCTAAATAAATGTCACTGGCTAAATGAAAGAGGGGCCCTTTATAAATCCACAAACAAATAAGTACCCAAGTGTAGGAAACAACACACGTTTGAATCTTATTTCATCTTTCTCTTGCAAGTTTTGATTCAAGAGAGGAACTCTGTGCAGTCTGATTTTTAGTAGGGCTTTCCATGAAAACAACGGAGAGACAGGGCTACTTGGCTAAGATTTCAGTGCTCTCCCGGTGGAGCTTGCTAGAGATCAGACGCATCACTTACCCACTTTCAATGGGGCAGCGTGCTTGGGGAGAAATGGATCTGCAGCTACAAGCCTGCATTGCACAAGCCTGTGGGTTCCTGCTGCCTATATCAACAGGAGGCCTTTGCCCAGCAAATGGTTTGGTATACTTTTCATCTTCCTTGACAATTAAAGCTCCAATGTGGCATGTTTGTGTTTCAGGTGAAAGGTTTAAGGCACTAAGGAAGAGTCACCCTTGTTGCCTCATCAACATTAATTAGCTGGCATGATTTCCAAATAGCCTTTGATTAAAACCTTTGAGACAGTGACAGTCAAGAAAAACAAGGTCCAAGTCTGTGTTCATCGAACAAAACAAATGCAGTCCAGAACAATCATTTCTTGGCCTTCATGTCCCGAAAAGCAGACCCACAAAAGACAGGCCATCACTCAGGTTCATCTGAGAGCAACCTGCAAGCGGATCCAGGCTTAGGGCATAACAAGACGGCCCACAAGCCTCGACTATAGAGAGGTTCACAAGCACTTCTCAAGGAGCCTGTAGGAAGCTCTGTTATCCCCAGCAGATAACGCAGACAATACTAAAACATGGCCCACCATGGCAAGACCAAGTCTCAGATCTCTCCTCCTGGGTTGTATGTGCTGGCCAAGGGCCTCCAAGTCCCAACGGGAACGTTCTATCTACACCCGCAGCCTCCTGGCCCTTCCCTCCCTTCAGCTGCTGCAGCCCACATACACCTCACTCACCTCGTACACATTGTACGCCTCATCACTTCTCTCCTCTCTCAGCTTGGTGAGATCAAAGGCTGCGGCTGATGTGGATAAATTACACTCTAATGTGAAAGACATTCAGTCATGCTATTGCTTTACCTCAGGCATCAGAGTTGGGCAATAAAGAAAAGGCTTGTGCCTGGGTAGAAAAGGACTCCAGGCATCTTTCCAGTGCCCTTTGAATGGAGTCACTCCAGCTTCTCCTGGGAGCTGTTCTGAAGCCACTGGGTTCAGTCCAGTGCCCCTTGAGTGCCTCCTCTGTGCCAGGCACCGTGCTAGGTACAGAGGATGAAAAATGGGTAAGACACAGCCCGGGGGTCTAGTTGCAGGGTTACATGTGTGATTTTGCTCTGCTTCCTGGCGTGGGAGAGGTAGATGAAGGGAAATAGACCTTGGTTTCCCCCGACAAACCCAGCTCTCTTGCAAGGGAGACTGGTTACAGGAACCTCTGTTCCAGGCTCCACCTGCTCACTCACAGCCACAGCCCACCCAAATTCCACATCCGAGGGTTGCTCTTTCTGCCTCCATCCCCTCTCCAGAGCTCCTGGCTCCCTACAAGCCCAAGTCTCCCTCCTGCTCAGCCCCACACACATGAGAAATCCAGAATCTGTTTTCCCTAGGTTTGCTTCCAGCTCATATGTTCCCTGTCCCACGTCGTGAGAGCTTTTCTGCAGTCAGTCACAGGTAGCTTCCTTAATTGCATAGATTTCTGGTAGCAGATTTTCTTCCTCAATTTTGACCCACTCTGGTCTGTAAAACACTATGAACCTATTTATGTTTTCCTGAAATCACATTAACCAGAGATTTGAGGGCTGCCCTGCTTCCAAACATGTTAGATAATGTTAATTCAGGGTCTTAAATAATGCTGCAAATAATTCACTCGGTGCACAGTTTACTAGCAAATACACAAGATTTGGCTGAATGAAATTATGTTGACTGTTGGTGAGTGCGGAGTACTTTTTTTTGCAACAGTCTGAGGTTGAACTTCATTGGTTTGAAATTGTGAGTCACAGCCTGCATGCTTCTCATCCACAAATTGCTTCCCTCTAAGCAGTGATTCTCAGTTGAAAGTGATGGCACTCGGACCCTGGGCAGTGTCTGGAGACATTGGGGATGAGCACTGGATGTTCCTGGCACGTGGTGGTTGGGGGCCAGAGATGCCCCCAACCATCCTACAACATCCAGGTTAGGCCCCACAGTGGAGAATCACCCAGCCGAAACGTCAACAGGACCACAGTTGAGCAACCTGCTTTAAAGGAATCCACTGGATGCCTGCAGTGTTCTCACCACCCCAGGTTCACTCCGATTGTCCCACATGTCATCCTTCCATGTCACTCAGGTGAGCTCAATAGGAGGTCCTTCAGGAATTCTCCATGAGAAAACCATTCTGGCTTCCAGTGCTGCTACAGCTGGGGTCTGGATGGCTTTCAATATTCTCTTCTACAGGAGCATGTCTTTGCATGGTGCCAGGGAAGCCAGAGATAGCTAGCAGATTCCCCTGAGCCTCATTCACATTAGAAGCCCTTGCTGTTGTCAGAAGGGAACCTAAAAGAGAGTTGGATATTTAACTTTTTAAATTTGTTTGCTCAGTTCAGATACATAGGTGGGATGGTTCTATATTATGATACACGCTTGGCTCCATGTTGTCTGGATAATGATCACTACCATGCTGGACAAGCTATGTATGGTGTAAATGGACACTTTCTGGAGAGCACCCGTCACATCTCACCCTCAGAGCCTCCTGGTCAGGGTCTCCTGAGGTATAAGTCACCATAGTTACTTTGGAGACCTTGCTATCCTGGCCACAGTGAACTAGACCAAATATTGGTGTCTGGCCCAAGTATGATCCAGAAGAGAGCCTGGAATAAGAGCTCCACTCAATGTGAGTGCTTAATACAGATGACAGACTGGCAGGAACCACCACATGCTCTGGGTTGCAGTGTTTGTGCTACCTGTAGAGGCAGACAGTTGCGAAACACAGCAAAGGCAGCGGACAGAACCCATGAACCTCAGAGGATATCAGCAAGCAGAAGCACACTGCAGAAAGAACACCAACTTGGATGTGTTCCCGTGAATCCCAGCTACCCAGAGCCATCATGGGCTCATGGGTAGGTGTTCAGTTAATCTGTGTTTAGAGAATGATTTAAGAATAGGGAGATGTCTGGCAGCAGTAGCAGGAGATTAAGAAGGAAAGACATCAGGGAGCTCTTGACCATGATGTTGGAGCTCAGTGTAGAAAGTGTCACCCACTGCTGAGTGGATGACAAGATCACCTGATCCCTAGATGTCTCATGTCCTATATAGCATGCCTCCCTGCCTGAGGCCAAGCCAGGCCACTCTTGGGGCTGCTTCCTGCTCTCTTTCTTACCTGTGTAATTTCAAAATAAAATGACAGTAACTTAGATACTCTGAAATGTCTCTTAAAACCCCCAAAAAGGGCTGGGAGTGGTGGCTCATGCCTGTAATCCCAGTACTTTGGGAGGCCGAGGTGGGTGGATCACAAGGTCAGAAGTTCAAGACCAGCCTGGCCAAGATGGTGAAACCCTGTCTCTACTGAAAATACAAAAATTAGCTGGGCACGGTGGCAGGCACCTGTAATCCCAGCTACTCGGGAGGCTGAGGCAGGAGAATTGCTCGAACCTGGGCAGCAGAAGTTGCAGTGAGCTGAGATCGCACCACTGCACTCCAACCTGGGCAATAGCTCTGTCTCAAAAAAAAAAAAAGTCCACAAGACTTTGTCAAGATGGAAATGAAGTAGAGACCTTGAACCTGGAGGGGTTTTTAAGCGAATGGAGGACCAGTGGACCTAAGATGTGTACCTGCCCCTGGGGTTAATCCTTCTAGTTCATAACTTGGATTAATAATGGGACAAAATCTCTTACTAGGACTAAAAGCAAGAAAGAATATTTTTAGATGCTTTGTTCCCTCCCCTGCTCCAGCCACACTGTGCCTCTTGCCAGATAAAATACAAGCATTTCTGTACCTTCTCCTGCATGACATAAACAAGACCTAGGATTTGATGAGTTCTGTCTTAGATGAGACTTGGGACAGGCCACAGCTCTGCCCAGCCTCATCCTGAGTAAGTCAACGTTAACTTGATCCACCCTGTAATCAAAGCATGATTTATTCTGGAACCCTGAACCCACAGCAAAACATTAGATAACAACTAGCCTATTAATAAGAGATGAAAGTGTTATTTTTAGATTAGGTTAACCTGGAAAAAGGTTGACTCAATTCTGGCTTACTGAGACGACCAAGCTGTGTACATTAACGGATCATCTATTTATGTACTTAGCAGTGCTCAAATTAACAGGCACGTATCCACTCTCGTAACGCTGTGGTTTTCTGAAATGGGCGCAGGTGTTCCATGTAGGTAAGAGTCACCTCTGTGAACACACGCATTTCTCTTTCCTGTTAGAAAATACCTGAAATCTCTTCCGAATGCTGTGCAGACTCCAGCCTGTACGGGTATTACAAACTGAACCCCCACTGCCCTCCGACTGGCTGCACACTGAGTTAGCATCTGCTCGCCCTTCTGCCCCATGTTCTTTGAGGGTGAGGAGGTGGTAAACACGGGCATGACACAGTGTAAGCATGACTGCTGCCGCCGGCTCTTACTGTAAGGTTTTTAGTTAAGAATTCATTTCTCAATTCCCCGTGGAGCTAACTTACAAAAGAATGAGGAAGAATAATGAGAGCATTTTGTCAGGAAAAAAAAAAAAACTTTTTTTAAAAAAAAACAATAGCCTGCTAATGATGTAGATGAGATCGTGTCCATTTTACAGACAAAGAAATTGAAACCAGAAGGCTCATCATCGCAAAGCAATTTTCCATTGATTCTAGAATGAAAATCTAGTTTTTAAAATTTTAATTTCAGTACTATGGCCTCTGTAATATGTATTTCATTACCTGACTAGGAAAAATGAGACCAAAGAAAAGAAACGGAACTTCTAACTCAAACTTATTAAACCAGAACTTCCATTTCTGGCTCTGATGGAGTGACGTGCATCAATCCGACCGTCCTGCACTACATCCTAACTACAAAAGCTGCACAAAATAAAAAACACGTTGTTGAAAGACAACAGAGAATAACCAAGTCAGCCAGTACTGGAGGGGCAACGATGCCAGAGAAAAAGCCCCCAACAGGTGAGTCCAATGTCATTCCTTGCTTCTCCCCTTCAAGCATCTGCTATTTCCCAAGCAACACTAACACAAAGGCAGAGACTCAGTGTTCAGGAGGCTTCACTCCAAAACCTGGAATCCGGGACTACTGAGGCTTCAGAACTAGAGAAGCAAAGAATTTGGAGAAAAAGAAACCGCAAATAAGTGAATACACAGATTGAAAAACATAAGCCACAGTGATAAGGTCTAATGTACAGGTCATTAGAATTCTAGGAAAAGGGGCTGGGGAATAAAGGGACACAAACAATATTTACAGAGGCACTGGCCAGAAATGTTCCCAAAATGCTAAAGACATTAATCTGCAGATTTAAGAAGCTCTACAAGATTAAAGCAGAATAAATTCAGAAGGCAAAAAATAAGCATTGAGATACATCACAGTGACATCTTGCTGAAAACCTCATGGGCACACATGCTGAAAATAAAAAACACAGGAGAATCTTCAAAACAGCCGAGGGTGAGGGCTGGAGGCAGCCAGAGAGAAGCACACATCATACTCAAAGGAGTAACAATTATGCTGATAGCTGATCTTCCAGAAGAAACAGTAGAATCCAGAAGACAATGGGATGGTGTCTTTAAAATGCTGAAAATAATTGCCAAATTCTTTTTTTTTTTTTTTTTTTTTAATGAGACAGTGTCTTGCTCTGCCACCCAGGCTGGAGTGCAGTGGCACAATCTTGGTTCACTGCAAACTCCGCCTCCCAGGTTCAAGCGATTCTCCTGCCTCAGCTTCCCAAGTAGCTGGAATTACAGGTGTGCACCACCATGCCCAGCTAATTTTTGTATTTTTTAGTAGAGACGTGTTTTTGCCGTGTTGGCCAGGCCCATCACTCCCAGTCCAGTGGTACGTTCTTGGGCAAAATATTTAACCTTTTTCAGGCTTCTTTTCCTCATTTTTTCCTTTTTTTGTGTGTGAGACAGGGCGTTGCTCTGTTTCCCAGGCTGGAGTGCAGTGGTGCAATCACAGCTCATTGCAGCCTCGACCTCCTGGGTTTAAGTGATCCTCCAGCTTCAGCCTCCAAAGTAGCAGGAACTATAAGTGTGTGCCACACACGTGGCTAAATTGTTTAAAAAAATTTTTTGTGGAGATGGAGTCACTGTATTTTTTCCCATCTTTTAGATGAGAATACTGGTACCTATCACAAAGACGGTGAAGATTCATTGAGATAATGAATACATGCCCAGTACAGTGCATGACTCATAGTTGACACTGAAAATAGTAGGTATTATTTTTATTATATAGTCACTCCAGGTAGTAGGAAAATACTGAATGACAAAGCATTCAGTGGGAAATAATAACAGATAAGTCCACTGTCACTCAGAATGATGAGGAATATGGCTGAGTACTAACAAAAGCAATATGTTATTTACACAGGCTGATTTCCCTGTTTTGCAGGCTGTGAAATTTGGTTGCTTTAGAGATAGGGTGGTTATTAGACATCAGTGAAAATAAGCACACTGTGAGAATTTATAGGGAAATACATTTAATTAAGTGCCATCTGAGCCACCCACACTGTGAACAAGGATTCTGGCAACAAAGGGTTATTGTTGCCAAGTTCCTGCCAAATGTTATTTTCCTAAGTTAGTGTGTTGGTGGTGGTGGCGGTGTTTTTTCTGGCCAAAGCCTGAACAAAGAATTCCAGATGGCAACATGGAGTGGGAAAGCCTCATCACCGTAGACCAAAATTCTCCCAAAGTCCAAAGAAGATTGGGAAATCCTTTTAAAATATTTCCTTTGGATGGAGGAAGGGAGTGGGTACCACAGGAAATGTAAAGTAGGAAATAACGGCGATTTAACTTAACTTTAGGGTAAATTCTTTGAGGATATTAATTCATTTCTTAAAACTTAGAATGTGCTTCCCCCACCCCCAAGGAGGAACACCAATGCAAGGCCTGGGCAAAGCACAAGGTTCTCACTAAGCGCTAGTTGAACTGAGCAAAACTGACCCCCAGAGCACAGAGTAAGTATGACAGAAATGACATCGACAATGACCAGCTCATTAAGCTCTTCTGCAGGTTTCAGTCTCTGCACTGAGCACTTCACGCGTATCATCAGATCCTGCAACAACCCCATGACAACCTTATTTCTTCCTTGATTCTTAGCTATAGAAATTCAGTCTCAGAGAGGTTAGAGACTTTCCTTCATCACAGAGCCAGTCAGTCACAGAGCTGGGATCAACCCCAGATCTGTCTCACTTTCAAGGTCATTTTCTACCACCGCACTGAGAAACCTGAGTAAAGTCCCAAAACTCCACCTTCACATCAATAGGTCACTAAAACAATCAATGTGTAAGATTAAGCTTGGCCAACAGAGGAATTCTGACCAATGTGAAACTACCGGTCGAGAAACTCAGGAAGATACCTACTGTGTTGGGAAATCACAGGACATTCTGTGTAACAAAGTTCAGTGTTACGGGGTAAAAACTAAAACACCCAACAAGCCAGTGAGGGTCACTTGTATAACTGAGGCTCCACGTTTCCACTGGAGGAGCCGAGTGTGCAGGGGTGTGGTGCAGCGCCTCACACAGCCTTACGCAGGAATGTAGTTGGCACACCCTTCTTTCTCCCTAGCCAGCAGAAAAAAATGCAGATACGCAGATTGAAAGTATAAATGTAAAAATTGCTTAATTCATTGTTAAATATTCTTATAGCTATCAGATGTAATGACAAAGACAGACAATGCCAGAAGTCATGTTTTCACAACTCTTTAGAAAAGAAAATAAGACAGTAAAGATCTGGAAAGCACGTAATTACAGGCTGCAAGTGCAATTTTGTTGCATGAGAGTGACCTGCCTCCACCCCCAGTCTCCACCATCCTTTGGACTTATCCTTTATAAGCTGAAGACTGCTATATCACTCCCAAAGTCTCTACTGAGCTGCTAAACCATACATCCAATTAGCTTTCAGATGGCTCCAGTTACATGTCACAAACAGTTCAAATTCAATATATCAAAAGTATCCAAAATTTAGCTCATAATCTTGTAGTCCAAATACGTTCTTTCTTTAATATCCACTATTCCAGTGAATAGCCCAGGTATTCTTACAACCATTCATGCTGGAGACCCAAGGGTCACCTCGGACTTGGACTCCTCTCTATCTTCTTCCCTCTACAACTGAGTTCTCTCAGGTTTGCCTTGCATATTTCCTGATTTCATCTTTCTCCATTTCTCCCTTTCTCTCTCCCTCTCTCTCTCCACCCAGCAGTGGTGCCTTTAGTTCATCATTGTTTCTCATCTGAATTAAACCAAGTACACCAAGTCCCTCAGTTATTCTTTCTCTAGTCTTGTTCCAACATAATCCATTTTCCACTCTAATCTGGTCCTTTCACCTCACTGACTCTAGACACTTCTGTATAAAGTCCAAAAGTCTTCACATGCCATATAAGATCCTTCATGATCTGTTACCTGCCCACCCTCTCCATTTTTGACCCTTGTCCTTCCTACCCTGTGCCTCCACAATCTAGTCAAAGCAAACTCCGTACTTTATCTCAAATGGCCTTCACGCTCATCTTTGTGCTTATCCTCCCATATCTGTCACACTCTTTCCCTGCTAACCCCTCCACACTCCTATATAAGGTAAGGTCAATGCTAGAAAATGTGGACTTGGCCCCCATCTCCTTCCTCTCGTGGCACCCTGTGCTCACCTCTGCCCCTCTGTCGTGGTACTTACCATATTGGGTTGTGATCATCTTCAAAGCTAGCATCCCAAAAGACAGACATGGATTACTCATCTTTGTATCTATCACCTAGTAGAGTCCATGCAATAATAGGTGGTCAATAAAAGTTTGTGGAATGAATTAATCTAGAAAAGAAGAAAGGAAAGCAAAAAGGGACACCATACATCGGGGAGAGTTTGTTTATAGGCACATTTAACAGTTGTGAGACACAGATGATCTATTATGTTAACAATTGTGAGAGACAGATGATCTGTTATGTTTTCAGAGTTTGGGACTTCAACAGGGAACTAAGAGGAATAAAAGGAAGCCTGATCTCAACGATTTAAATAACATAAAGATCATAACTGAAATATTTAATTGCCTAAAGGGACAAATGGATTCATCAGCTGAAGGGTAAACTAATCCGTAAATATCCCAGGTCTAACAGTGTCTGGCATAAAGCCTTGGTGAAAATGGGCACACCCTGCACTGCACTCTGGTGATAACCCTTAACAAAAAGTGACACCAGCCTGCTGGAGCTTTCCTCCATGCACAACAACTTCAGCCAGGGAGAAGCAGTGGTAAAAATAATAATCATGAAAGATAAATACATAATGGATAAATGGATGGATGAAAAGATAGGCAGTGGATGGATAGATAAGATAGAATAAATAGATGATTGGTAAGTAGATGATGGATAGATGATAGATGAAATTGAATAGATACATGATTGATAGATGATGGACAGATAAATGATGGATAAATGATAGATAATAGATGATAGATACAGAGATCAAATAGAATAAATAGATGATTGATAAATAGACGATGTATAGATAAATGATAGGTGATAGACAGATGATAGATAATAGATGAAATAGATAGGCAATACATAGATGATAGAAAGACAGATGGATAGACAGACAGACAGACAGACAGACAGACAGACAGACAGACAGACAGACAGGCTGGCCATAGCTGTTTTGCTGGTGAAGCTGCAGTGGCAGAACACTGTTGCAAAAATAAATGCAGGCAAAAAATGTGGACATTTGGAAGGTGGAAGCCAATGGACTGTCAGTGGGATCTGCTAAAAAGAAATTTATGGTCTGATCCCACAGATGGTGATATCTGTGGAGGACCAGCCACCTTGTGCAAAAGCTGGGAAGAATGAGAGGAGAAACTAGACAAGAACTAAACAAGTGAAGAGAACAACAGAAGATGGTAAAGAAGAGGATCTAAGGCAATAGCTGCTAAGGTGTTGACCATTAGCAAAACCAGTGCAGAGGGAGAAGATACATTGACACTGAAATTAGAGAAGAGAATGCATTAGTCCCAAAGATACAGAAGCTGAAACAGCCCAATACTCAGGACTTGCACTTCTGGCCATGATGGAGTAACATGGATCAGATTCACCCTCTTACCTTAAAAAACAACAACAAATGGAAATAATTTTAAATAATTTCAGACACTGGAAAAGAGGCAGCAGAGGACAGAGATTCCTGAGAAAAGGGGGAACAAGCAAGGTGAGCCCTGAGATGCCCCGGCTTACCAGGTGGACAGCGTTTTCAGTTAAGTGATGGTGCAAAAAGATGGAATCTAAACAAAGCCTACTGGTTTATGGACACAAGTGAGAATTCAGGGAGACACTCTGGCTAACCCCGTAGAGGAGAGTAATGGAGGAAAGAGAGCTTCACAGGGAAGAGAGCTGCACAGAGAGACCTGCACAGAAGGAGAGTCTGGAGATGGAAAGGGGGTTCCTCTACTCTTCAGCTGAGTACTGGTCAGGGTGTGGATGTGAAGAAGCTGCACCCATCAGGAGTGAGTGGGTGGAATCATCCCTGAGCTAGGGGCAAGGAACTTTGATGTCCCCATAGCAGAGTGGAGAAATCTTGTAATACATGGTCGTGCCCTCAAAAGGAAAAAAGTACCCCTAGACCAGGTTCTTTTGTGGTTCATAAGTGTGATGATTGGGTTTTTTGCTCATGTGTGAGATGTGCCTCCCTCAAACCTCGTTATGATGTCGGCACATCACCCATCTGACTTGGAAAAAAAAAAATCCCTGCACCAAAGGCTGTTCTGGTTCCATCTAACCATGCTTGAAAGCAAACTTCAAAAAGATTAACTGTTTCCAAGCAACTTAAGTATGTCCCAGAACAGACCAAGAATACTTAAAAGAATACAGAAATATCTGACATCCAACAAGATAAAAATTACATCTGGCCATCCACTCAAAAATTACCAGACATGCAAAGTAGCAAGGGAACATAATGGACAATGAGCGGGAGGGAAACTGATCAACATAAACAGACCCAGAAATAACATAGATGCAGGAGTTAGTAGACAAGGACATCAAAACAGTTATAACTACATTCCATATGTTCAAGAAGGTGGAGAAAAATGTGAGCATATTAAAGATATAAAAAGATATTTTAAGAGAGCCTTAAAGTTGGGAGAGGAGCACCTCAAAGCTTGAGGTATCTCTGATATGTAAAAAGAAAGCAGCAACATCCACTTTCCTTATCTGGTGTGATCATACCAGGCACTTTCCAAACAAGTAGACTTTTGAGAATGAAAGGGGTGCTGTTAATAATGAGCTTGGGACCATCAGCATAAACAGAGACTGCCCCGGGTTGACTGTGACATATGATGGGGCCAACATTTCCTCCCAAAGCTTAGCAATATTTAACAGTGTGTAGGACATGAACATCAACAACAGCTGACATTATGGTTTCAGTCCTTAAAGGGATGGCCTCAGCCTCTGGGAACTCTCAGCCATGCCTACTAATGCACACCACATATCTCTCCAAAATAAGTTTGTCATTTGCAGTCCTCTCCATTTGTCCCGTGGCTGACTTTGACCTCTCTCTACTGTGTTGTGCCTGACTCTTTCACTGAGAGCCTCAGGCTCAGATTTCACAATCCTTGTCCCAATCAAACTTAGCTGACTCTAGTCTCAACCCCACAGGACCATGCTGCCTACCACTCAACAGGAGCTAAAATGAAAAAGTTGTGAAGGACTTAATGAGTTACTGCTCCTTGGTAGGGAACTTATAGTAAAGCTACTGCTAGCCTCCTGGCTTTGCACGACAGCCCACCAGTTACACCAAACCAAAGTTTGCCTAAGTATTGGCAAATCCCCTGTCAAGTGGTATCTGTAAATACTCTGAATTATTTGTCCAAGTGAGTCAAAATTATTCAGGGTGCCAAAGAGAAAGACGATCTCTTGCAAGGTAAGCAACAAGTCTCGCGAAATCTTCAAGTCCCGATCCAGTGGGGAGAAATTTCCGTCCAATGACAGAGTGAAAAGACACTGGGTGTGTTGGGGACTGGAGTGCCTCCCTTTATTTCCACAAGCCTCTGCTCCTGTGAATAATGCAATGATCACAGATACTGACTTCATGTTATGACCTGATTGAAACCCAGACCCAAACCTGTCCTGGAGCATGTGATAAACCAGATGAGCCTGGAGTTCAGTTGTCACCACCTTCTCAAACACAGGCATCTTAATTAAAAAATTATAAGCTATACTTTTGCCAAGGATTCAGATGAAACATCAAAAGGGTAGAAAAGGGTGTCTTTCTTTCAGTTAAAGGACAGGCCCAAGATTGGGGGATAAGAGTGGAAAATCAGGTAGGTGAGAATCCAGAGACAGACCAAAACTGAAGCTCATCCCTAGTGAGGGGACCTTTCCCATTTTGGAGACAGATTGTGCTGTACTGATGACCATGTGCATAAACAAGCCTCTTCTCTCCACTCTTCAACCTTGTCTTTAAAAACAGGCCTGTCCCAGCATGTGGGGAAAACATACAAAGCATGTTGAACTCAGATATGAATCTGAATGCTGTGGAAAACAGCCAAAAAAGTGGCATCTTCTCCACCACTGACGATCCTTTGCATCCCTCTCCTCCTTGCAGGTAAATGAGAGCTGGAACTCAGCCTTGGCTCACAGCAGAAAACAATTCTAACCCAGGGCGCATCCACATTCGTGGGGAAATGTTCAAGTGCTTGATCATAGATGCAGGAAAAAAAAGTCTGATTTGTTGGCATCAGACCTAGTCTTTAGATGGGAAAACTAATAAACATCAACCTTGAAGACAAGAGACAAACATTTCTTCTCCAGAAATATACTGACAGTGACCTTATAGTCTTCAAACATTTGGGCCTTTAAAATAAACAGACTTTTGTAAAATATCTAATTAACAGCTAAAAGTTGTAAGTGAAGGCTGGAATATTGAGAAGATAAATAATTGGATTTCATTTATCTTCAATGCTCTAAATTTTTGCTTCTTCCACCTTTGCCTATAGGATGAACACATCCTGAGAATGCAGGCCCAGGCAGAACCAGGGACAACACAACTAGCAGACGAAGTTGAATAATGACTCTCACCCAGACCTCCCTTCACTTTGGTGCCCAGAATTTGGTCTTGTAAAAGATTCAGACATCCATGCTTCTCTAATTAGAATAGGCTTTACTTCTATAGATAAGCACAGGTAAACCAGGAGATTAGAATCTATACAATATACCTAGAACATCTTTTTAGAGCAAGTTTCACTTGAAGATTTAGGGGAAGGGGTGTTAAGAAATGTTCTTTCACTTTAAGAGCAAGTCCAGTGTTTTTAATATTGAAGTATGGATGACTTACAGGACTATGCCTAATTTGCAGGAAATTTGAATATAAAACACAAGACTTTTTGGTATTTTACTTTATGATGGGCTTTTGGGGTCCTCATCTGTAATCTTTCTGCAATACCAGCACAACCTTTCCATTTCAGTCGAGAAGTCTGGTCCACGATGTCCTAGGTAGACCGTGAAGCTCTGAAGAACATGTGCCTTGCACTTGCTCCTGGTTCAATTTGTCCATTGCTCATCATAAATCTCAGAGACACCGGAGAGAACCAAGCATCACCAACAGTGACTGATATGGTTTGGCTGTGTCCCCACCCAAATCTCATCTTGAATTGTAATCCCCATAATCCCCCCGAGTCGTGGGAGAGACCTGCTGGGAGGTAATTGAATCATGGGGGTGGTTTCCCCTATGCTGTTCTCGTGATAGTGACAGAGTTCTCACAAGACCTGATGGTTTTATAAGCGTCTGGCATTTCCCCTGCTGGCACTCTTTCTCTCCTGCTGCTCTGTGAAGAGGTGCCTCCTATCATGATTGTAAGTTTCCTGAGGCCTCTCTACTCAGGCATAACTGTGTCAATTAACCTCTTTTCTTTATAAATTACCAGACTTGGGTATTTCTTCATAGCAGCATGAGAACATATGAATACAATGACCAGTTATGGATGAGAAGTGCCCAACTGCACAATCTTATCGATTTCATACCACCAGGTCTCACAGAAATGGTACGGAGATGTCTCAAGCAAGATCAAATCAGAAAAATCATGACTCCATGAGGAGCCAGGCACAGTGACTCCCACCTGCAATCCCAGCTACTCAGGAGGCTGAGGCAGGAGAATCACTTGATCCCTAGGATTTGAAGCTGCAGTGAGTTATGATCATACCACTGCACTCCAACCTGGGTGATAGAGGGAGACTCTATCTCTTAAAAAATATATATCCATAAGGGTAGAGGTCTTTATTTTGTTCATGAACTTATCCACCAAGCACATAAAACAGTTCATGCTCTGTAAACATATGTCGAAAATTAATTCTATATGCTACTTCCCCAAACATTATTTTCTAATTATCTTCCCAAATGGCTAGTTAGATGAAAATCAGTTGTCTCTTGTACCATTCTACATTCAGAAGGAATGAAAGGTATGCTATAAGGAAAGGGGAGTGTGAGTAACTAATTTGAAGGAAAAAAGTAACCAAGGTTTTCAGTGTTTGTGGATGGATATATAGACATCTGTCCCTCTTTGAGTCATTGGGAATTTGACATCGTTTCCCAGAGCCAATAACTGTTTGTCCTGTTGGGAAGCCTCTGTCTTGCACCATCAGCCACATAGCAATCTCCTCTGCTCAGCAGTCACGCTCCCTTTCATCCACTCCTGATGAGGTCATTTCCTGCCTGGCTGAACCAGGGGCTTAGTTGAGAGTGAGCTGGCCAAGATTCAATCAGGGTAAGCCTGAAGCTGTGTGCTTGAACTGGGGAAACGCTTCAGGAGTCACAGGAGCGATCTCTTCCATGTGCGGATGGGATGCATTTAACCCTTGCCATTGACAGTGACAGCTTTAGGTCAGGATGGAAGCAAGGCTTGAGGACACAACTGTGGGCTAGAAACCAGAACACCTGGGTGCCAGTGCTGGCTTCCACGATAAATACCTGGGGCTGTTAGGAGGATCAAAGCTTTGGGCAGGAGGCAGGTGTGGGGATTCTGAGGGAAGTTTTATTTTCCTCATGTGGACAATGATGGGGTTGGAATTTATTATCTCCAAGGTCCTTTCAGCTCTAATTTAATGTTGCTCCAGGCATCTCTGAGGATTTCTGAGATAGCCTGGATACCATCTGTGCTGGTGTGGAGGTCGCTACCTCCCGTTCCAAATGCTGGCCAAGGTGACTCTCAGGTGGATTAACCAAAACCACAATTGGGGAAGAAGCTGAGGCTGAGTGCTGATGGCAGATGCCAAGAAAGTGCGACACAACCTGTCCACAACACTCTTGAAGATGCTCAGCCCGGCCATGCCTGCCAGTGTCCAGAGACACTGAGAGGGCCTGGGTGCCAGGCTGCCATGTAGGGCCGGGGAGGAGCCTACACAGGACGGTGCATCGGCAAGGAATGAGAAGTCAGAAAACTCTCCAAAGACACCTCAAAGGATTCTGGTCGGCCAACCAAGCACCAAGTGGTTTGTTTATGGGGCAGGAGAATACGTATAAGTGGATGAGGCGGGGCCTTGGGAGAAATCCACTCTGAAGTGAGCCCAGATTATAGACCATCTGGAAGAGCAGCTAAGAGCACTCTGATGAACGAAGAAAGAGAAGGCATGCCGCTAAGACACCAGCACATGTTAGAAAGGTGCAGAGGTCAGGATGGCGTGATCCTGGAGTAAGAATAAATAACCAATCAATTGAACAGAATAAAGTAGAAGATCAGACCCATATTTCTATACACATTTCTATACAAATGTGTACAAATGTATACATTTCTAAACAAATGTGTTTCTATACAAATGATAGCTACACATATAATAAAAGTTTGATTTTAACATTAGAAAGGAAAATAGATTCTTTAGTATAGGGCTCTATTCCTAACTCACATCATATACCAAAATAAATTTCAAATAGATTACAGAGTGGCATACTGAAAATTACCAATGAAAGAATTGAAAGCAATATAACTAAATACCTATCCAATCCCTGTCAAGGGAGTGTTTCTAAGCATATGCACAAAAGAAGATATAATAAAGGAAAGGACACTATGTAGAACTGTAAGAAAATTAGAAATTCTCTCTAAAACTTAAAATGTAATAATAATAAAATTTTAAAAAAAGAAATTCTCTCTATAGAAAGGAGCACTAACTAAATTAAAAGATGAACAATAAACCAGGAGGAGAGAAGTTAGAACAATTTGACAGGCAAGTGATTAAAATTCTACATACGGGGCTTCTAACAAGTCTGTCTGCCTATCACTAGCTATGTGACTTTGGGGGGTCATTTAATTTCAGACTTCTATTATATTAATAGGGATAATAATCAAATATATTTCAGAGGATTGCAAGGATTATAAAAGAAAATACATGAAAATTAGCATAGTAAAGGCTTACTAAATTGTGGCTGCCATTATTATCAAAAGTATTATTATATCATTATTCATTAGTATAATAAAAGAATACATGATATTTATATTTATATATAATAAATAAATTATTATTATTAAATACCACAAGGGAATTAGAAACAAAAATTTGGAAAGGCATTTCAAACCAGAAGAATACAAATGGCAAACAAATGAAATGGGACCTGCTCATCAGCTGTCAAAACAGGTGTGTTTTTAAAACAATAATATTTTTAAATGACAACATATGGAGTATAGGGAAAATTCTCCTACCTTATTGGTATAAGTACACTTTAGTATAATCTTCCTGGAGGGCAGTTGGTATAAAACAATGTTTATATCATTTGACCTAATAATTCTACTTCTTTATCTAAGGAAACAATCAGATATACACCAAATAAAAAGGTATATCAAGATGATTCATTATAATAGCAAATACCAGAAGCAAGGCTCAACAAAGGAATGTTTATTTCATCCATGCAACGGAATTGTATCTAGCCGTTGAAAATCAAGTTGCAAAAAATATTCAGAGGCATGGGAACATGTTTACCATATTTGTTCAATGCAAAAAGGAAGCTAAATATCTCTTCTATATTTTATCTCAGTTTTATTTTAAAAATGAATCTTACAATACAGAAAAAGATCCATATAAATAAATATACATACATACCCATGTACTCATGTATGTATATGAAACAAATACACTTTTATATCTATGTGGTAGAAATGCTAGTGATTTAATATTTTCTTTGTCTTTATTTTCTGAAATTCTTACTATTTATGTGTATCATTTTAATCAGAAAAAAAATACAACAAATACTATTTTAATAGACCCCGATGTCACTTTCCTCCTTATCTCATATTACTTTCCAAGCTATTACTTTTATGTCAAGTTGGAAATCAAGAAGGCCAGTAAATCACCCAGTTGAGGTTCTTATATGCACCCTACCTAAGGCCCAAGTGCCTCTCCGGAGAGTCTCTCTCTGGTGTTAAGTTGTTGTTTAACCCATACGATCATGCTGACTACCTCCTCCACTTTCTTCTCCTTCCCCTCCTTTTCAGGGAGTAGATGCCTACGCATAGAGTTTGGGATTTGGAGGCTCACAATCCTGAGCTAGAACCCCAGCTCTGTGTCTTCCTTGACCTTGGGCTCAGTGTTGTAAATGGAGCATGGGCTTGAGAAGAACTCTGAGAGTTTACATGCAAGAAAAGGGTTTGTGATGTAGACAATCTAGGGTATTTGGATTTTCTTCTTTCACGAGCGGGAAATAATGGAAACTTTTAAATCAGAAGAGCAATATGACCTTAGCAAAGTGTCGCTTAGTGAAGTATCTCTAGCAGCAGTATTGAAGAAAGACAAATGAGAGGAGGACACTGGTAACTCCCGAAAAGTTCAGCAAAGAGGATGAGGAATGGATCCAAGATACCACGACCGAAGTGGAGATACTGGTTGCATGCATGAGTGCATGACTGTGTGTATGTGCTCAAATGTGAAAGGAGAGAGAGAGGAACTAGTGAGAAGTCCTGGATTTTTTTGCTAAGGGAATTATTGGGATTCAAGCACTGCCAACCCAGTATCCACTCACCTATCTTCTTTCTTTTTTGATTTACTTACTTCTTCAATTTATTTTTAATTGACAAATAAAAATTGTACATACCTGTCATGTAGATTATGTTTTGATATATGTATAGATTGTGGAATGACTACATCAAGCTAATTAATATATACATTATCTCACATACTTATTTTTGTGGTGAGAACACTTAAAAGTAACTCAGCAATTTTTAAGAATACAATACATTGTTAGCAACAATGGTATTGTCAGTTAGTTATACTCACCATGTTTACTTCTCCTTTGTAGTTACAGGACCTCAGTTTCTTTCAGGGCAGCAACACATTTCTCAGCCTCTCCTGCAACTCGGGGGTGTCAATCAGATACGAATAGAGGTTGCTAGATGGGACGTCTAGGAAAGTTCCTTAAAAAGAAAATGGTGTGCGTATTTGCTGCCCTTCTACACCTTTCTTCTACATCCTAACTGCAAACTGGATGCAATGGCCAGAGCTCCAAAAACCATCTTCCATCAATAGATAAGATCGTGGATGGAATCCATATTTTAGGGGTGATGAAACAGAAAAAATAGAGGTATCCTGGGGTCCCAAAGACCACTAAGCCTTTGCACTAGCCCTGGACTTCCTTTATCCAAATGTCTTTCATATTAAAAATAAATCTCTACCTGATTCAACCAACTTTATTTGGGCTCTGTTAAGCGCTAATTTAGTCATCATTAACTAACATGAAGAACACAGGAAGTAGGGAAAATTTAGTTGTGTGCAAATTGACTGGGATATTGTGTTGTTTGTATTATTTTATATTTGAGACACCCATACAATATCCCACTCAATTTACTCATAAAGCAATTGGAAATATAAAACACTGATTATAATTGAAGTCCTGAATATAATCATATCAGAAGGAGATTGTGTATGCAGTAGAAGAAATAGTTTAACCCCTTAAGATCACCAGCACTGCATAATAATCCTAAACATAAATGCCCCTAATAAGAGAGCTTCAAAATACGTAAAGTAAAAACTGATAGTATTGCAAGGAGAAACAGACAAACCCACAATTATATTCAGAGATTTCAATAGTGCTCTCAATAATTAATAAAACAGGTAGACAAAAAAATAAGTAAGGGCATAGAAGACATGAATAACTCAATCAACTTGACCTAATAGTTATAGAACAGTCAACCCAATTTCAGCAGAATATACTTTTTTCAAGTGGATGCAGAACATTTACCATGATAAACTATATTCTGAGCCATAAAATAAGTCTCGAAGTATATTCTCAGCACATAGTGAAATTAAATTAAAAATGAATATTGAAAAGATATCTGGAAAGTCTCCAAATATTTATAAGTTAAATAACATACTTTTAAATAACCCATGGATCAAAGAAGAAAAGATTTTGAACTAAGTGAAAATAAAAATACATTTTCGAAATTGTGAGATGCAGCTAAAGAGGTATTTAAAGGAACATTTATAGCACTAAAATATCTATATTAGAAAGAGGAAAGGTCTGAAATCAAAGATCTGTTTCCTACATAAGAAAAAACCAGTAAATGAAACTCAAAATAAGTATAAGAAATGAAATAATAAGGATTAAAGAGGGAGTCAATAAAATAGAAAACAGAGAACAGTAGGGAAAATCAATGAAATAAAAGCTTGTAATTTTGAGACATTCATCAATAAGGTCTCAGAGGACATGGTGTGTAAATCAATGAAATAAGGAAAGTGTCTCTTCCTCAGTAAATGTTTCCCCTAACACTTAAAGTAGGCTTCCTCCTACGCTTATTCTCCCTCTATTTCCCCATTCTTTCATTTTATGTTATATTTTAATTCATCATTTTGTAGTTGTTGGTTGGTTTAGGATTTGTCTCTTTTATATGAGTCCAGTAGGGCAGGAATGATATCTGGTTTTCTCAGCACTGTACACCCAGCATGTATGAGAGCTTTCTTCATATAGTAGGTACCCAATAAATACTTGGTAAATCAATTACAGGAGAGTAATTGCTCAACGGTGAGAGCTGAGATGATGATGATAATGATGAGCGAATATGTATAAGAGAAAACAAGACAAAATGGAGAGGTAGCCTTTTTCAGCTGTTTGAAATGGGTAGTCAAAAAGAAAGATTTTATTCAAGAAGTGATAGTTAATTGCCCTTAAAATAGATATATGCAAGTAAGTGGCATGGGGAATAGAAAAGAATCTCATTAGAGGAAACAACATAAGGAAAGGTAAAGAAGCATAAGAAAGAATGGCCCATTTGGGAATCTGTCAGTGCTTGGGCATGGCTAGAGCATGGAATACAGGAAGGGAAGAATAAGAGAAGACACAGACCAGGCACAGAAGCTGGATCACAGATGGTCTCCTTTGCCATGGTAAGAAGTTTGGGCTTCATCCAGTAGGCCTGCAGAGTCTGAAAAATTTTAAGAAAGGAGTAGCCTGAGTAAATCTGTATTCTAGAAAGCTGATTCTGACAGTCTGTGGACAATAGATTGGAGGAAAGCAGGAAACGTGGAAAGGAGAAGAAGGTGGTTTGATTAAGACATACCAATGGAGTAAATAGAATCTGGTCACAGGTTGGATTGGGGAGTAGGTGCCGTCAAGGAGAGGGAAGTCAAGGTTGACTCCCAATTATTCCAATCAGGCAACAGAGGAAATGGTGAGCAAATCCATGAAATAAGGAAAGTAGAAATCTCTGCAGGAAAAAAAGATAACGAATATCCTTTGGGACATGATCAAATGCTTCTTTCCCCACATTTGTACCAACTACTTTCATTCTACCCAGTGGCACCTACTAAGGAACACTGAACACACCTGGACCTTGCACCTCCATCAAAACTCACGCTTTCACAATGCCATTCTAAGTGGAAATGAAATAACTGGATAAGTGACTTAGGCAACATAACCAGGTGTTATCGTCCCCAAGAATCCATGGGCATTTCAAAAGGGGCCTTGTTAAAAGGGCATATTAAATGAAATTAATTTGGCTTATTGGGGATTCCCAATGATAACCGATTTTTTAAAGTTTTATTTGCACCAATATTTTTCTGTTGTAAACAAAAACCTAAAAAAGAAAAGCATGACAGCAGAAAAAATTATATAGAAAAATAGGGGGGAAAGTCTGTCTAGAATAATGACAATTTTAAAAGAAAAAGAAGGACTTCTAAGGGTGAAGCTATCAGGAACGATATAGATAGTTTCCTCTCCTACATCATATTCCTGAAATCAAAGAACAAAAGCCTAGCACCCTACTTTCTATAGTAAATAAATTAACAGGATGTCTCCAAGCTTAAAATACACCTAGGTTTTTATCCTAGCACTGCCACTTCCTAACTCTGTGACCTTGGCCCTTTGTTTTATTGTGCCTCAGTTTCCTCATCTGCAAAATCATGATAATAATTTCTACCACTTAAGAGTCACTGAGAAGATTAAATCAGAGGCAATAGGTAAAGTACCTGACTTACGGTCTCAATAAATGTTAGCTGCTTCTAGCAGTAATGAGAACATTTCCGGGGAATATTTGTGTATTTACATGATTTACTGTGTCTGCAGGGTTAATTTCGTCATGCCATCATAGGCTGAGGATGGGCACAATTACTTGTCCCATCCTCAAAGAGCCTGGAGACAGGGCAGGGTCCTGAGCAAACTATGCAATCCCTGAAGAGCAGGAAGTAAGCAATGAGAAAATAAATAGGATCAAACACCATGTAAACAGCTGCACAAAGCTCACAATGCCTTTCCTATAAAGGAAAAACAATAATGACAGTGAAGCAACAATTATGACAATTAAGTTTAATGGAGGTAATTAAGCTAACTTAAATAAATGAGCATTCTTTAGATATCTTGCTGACTTCTTCCACTTACTATTCTTAGGATTCAAAAGAGCAAAACAAACATTCAACCTCAAAGGCTTCCTACAGATTTAGGGAGAAGCCACCAGAGCTGAAGATGTAGCTTTAGTGTGCTTAGACTCCTTTCTGAGGGGTACAGAGCTCAGGATGTGGGGGGCAAGGAGATGGGTCAAGAAACGGGTCCTGGATGTTCACGTGGGGCCTCCAGGCAGTGGCCAGGCATCTATTAATGGCTGCCTTGTGTTTTCATACCTGGGAGAGCTGAATAAGGAATTGCAATACCGAGGCCTCTAACAATGACAGTGGGATTCCCACAAGGGTAACAATAGCTCCTGAATCTCGCATTCTCTTTCTCAGCAAGTTCTCTCCTGAAGCACTGCTTCCCTTGAGAACACCAGATGAAGCACAAGATTTGATGTTTACACTCAGAGAGAAAGATCACTAAGACTGAACTATTCCAGATAATAACCAAGCTGTTGTTGGATAGGGCTTAAGGGATTATAGGGAAGTATATGGAATTTAATACATATAAAAGGAAAAAAACAGTATCTATGATCTTCAGCACTTCTACGTCGCACCTCTGTGGAGTCCTGCTGGTGTTTGAAAATAGTCAAATAGGATGCCCAGCTATTCAGGAGAGCAACGGTTGGTGGTTAAAAGCAAGGCTTCTGATTGCCTGGGTCCAAATCACAGCTCCGCCACTTACCCAGGTGTGTGGTCTTTGTCAAGTTACTTAACTTTCCTGTGCTTTTATTTCCTAACCTACAAAATGGGAATAATTATAGAACCTACCTTATAAGGGTGGTTAGATAATTAAATTATGTTAACCAAGGTAACTTACACTTAGAACAATTCTTGCCACATACAAAGCACTCAGTGTTAATATACAACCGTACCTGCATTTGAAACCATAGTCAACCATGAACTGGTTCCATCCTCTTACTACCAAATGGTATCATTCCATGGAGTTTCTGAAAGCATACACTTTCCTCCATTTCTATTATTGTTTCCTTGGTGGGGGAGGAGCAGTCTTCTAAACCCAACTCATCAAACAGATTTTACATATTTGATCTAGAAAGTTTGGAATGTCAGCATGTTTACTTCTAATTATTTGAATGCAGATGATCTCTTATCCAACCCAGATATTTTTTTAAAACTCTCCAGCCAAGTCGACCTTCTCCTAACTGTGACTCCTAGCCTGGATTCCAAGCTTTCACCCATGTCATGTCTAACTATTGGGACAACTCTCCTATTTCATGCAGCACTAAGAGACAATGCCACTTGAATGTTTTCTTGTTTCTGCATGGTCAGAGCCATTTGAACAAAAATTACTGGCAACCTGTGTTAAAGGATGGTTGATTAGCAAACAAGCCTCAGAAGTGAAAGACAGAGACTTCTGGAGAGAGTTGGAGTTAGAGTTAGAGTTAGGTCTCCCCTCATAGTCAGCCTCCCTCCTTCCATTTTTCCCCTGCTCCGTTTGTACAAGGTGGGGAGCAGGTGGAGCTCGCACTCACAATCCTCTGATATTTGTCAAATTGTGAAGTGGCATTGTAAGAGAGCCTTGGCTTTATTATTTTTTATTTTCCTCCTTAAAGCCAGGGTCATGGCGGCTGTCCCATCAGGGCAATAGGATCTCATGAGAAGAGATGGAAGAGGGGAGGAGGGAAAGACCAGAGGGCAGAGACATATTTTTCTCCACTAAAAGGGCCTGTCTTCTGCTCTGTTCCCCAGGTGTGAGCGCAAAGATAGGCAGGTGAATGAGTGGATGAGAAAACCAGTGATGGATGTCTGGCTGGTCTTTGTCCCCCTACCCTCCAGTGGAGAGAGACCCAGGGAAGGGAGATGAGTGGGACCCTCCCTTAAAGGAAGGGTAGAGGGGCAAGTACTTGGGGAGAAGAGACAAGACTGGAGAAGAAGACAGTGGCTTATGTTCCATGGGGAGTAAGGACTTGGAGCGTATCATCTGCAGAGCCCCACGGAGGGGGAAGAACTTGCAAGGACCACCCAGGAGGCTGTGTCCTGGGTCAAGGGCCCCCAGCCCAGCCAGGGAGCACAACTTGGCCAGTAAGCGTCAGAACTCGCCTTCAGATGACCACGGGGTGTGACCCAATGTGCACAAAAGTCCAGGGCTCTCCCAGGAGCAGTTAGCAAGCGGCAGGGGAGGGGTGCGAGCCCAGATATGGCTGATGCCAACAAAGCCTCTGAAGACGGATGCTGGGCCTCACCCGACTGCAGAGCAGGGGAGTGAACCTACCGGGAAAGATGCAGAGTGAACTTCTCATCACCCTGGCTAAATGCGACTCACTGTCAGGTAGATTTTGATCGGGAAAACATTCTGAATTTTGTTGTAGACTGTGATGGTGTGAAATGCATCCCTGCTTCATGAATATACCTCCCAGGCATAGGCCTGTAAATATACGTTAATAATTACACTGCTTGTGAGCAGAGCTGCAGTTATTTCAACAATGAACAGTCTTAAATCTCCTTTCTCCTTAATGCTACATCAAAGGAGGGTTCCTGCCCAGCCTTTTTCTCTCACCACATGCAGTGGTTGAGAGTTGGTGGGACCTGTTCACTGTTCATACCCCTGCTGCTGAGCTACAAGGCGCAGTTGGGAGTTATGAAGACCTGGAGAAGCATGACCAGCCCCAAGGAAGGGAGGGGAGCTGAGTTCCCCAGCTGTCCCCTGTTGGATTGGGAAACATCCTCTGTCCTCTCTCGGGGGGTTAGCAAAGTCAGGCCCAGCCTTGTGGAACGAGTCATGGTGCTGTTTTCTCCAGAGCCCTCTTTGTCATAAAACTCACCAAATCCTTACTCCTGTCCTTGGAGCCTCGCCACCAAGCATTTGGAATTGCACCACATACAAATCTGGAGCAGCTCCAGCTCTTTACTAGTTTCGGTTGTTTTATGATCAATACCTCCTGCCTCAGGATCCACAGGAAAGTTAAATCCCATCAGCTCTGTGTTTTTGTAAACTGTGCCTAGCTTCCCTGTGACTTTGATATGTCCTCATATGGCACAATGTCTGGGTGTGGTGACCGCTAAGTAAGCCCACAGAATACCGCAGTGATGACGGCTCATACTCCACGCCAATGACCACACGCAAGGCCTGTTCCCAACGGGCTCGCCTTCGCTGTCCTACGGCCATCAGGATCGTATGGCTGCAACCTCAGTTTTTCACTAATGGGTTCCCTAATCCCTATGTCCCTGGGTGCAACTTCACTTTGATCTGCCACTTTGTGGAATGTGAAAGAGGAGAGGAAAGGAAGTGGCTGGGCCCAGGGATGGGGATTTAACTACTCCAATGACTCAGAGATTTTGAGCTTTTGTGTTTTTTCCACTTGAAACATCAAGTTCCAGAAAAAGAACATGCCGCTACTAACAAAGCTACAATCCATCAAGTGTCTACAAAGTGACATGCATCTCATATATATTTCTCTTGTAATCTTCACAAAGGGAGACAGAGAAGCTGAGGCTCTCTCGGGAAGCTGTGTAACTTGCTCAGGGTCGTACCAGATAGTGGGTGGCAGAGGAGAAGGGCAGGCCCAGATATGGTAGGTGCCAATGTGCAGAACTGCTGTGCTGTGCTGCCTGGTGTTGGCCAGAATGACCATGAGAGGCCAAAATGGTGCCACTGAGGGGAGGAGCGGCACCCAGAGCACAGCAGACCCCCCACCGCTCCAGCCAGCCCCTCCTCAAGCCCGTGCTACCAGGTAACGAAGGGGAGCGGGGAAAGCAAAGACAGCCAGGGACCAGGCAGAGGGCCAGTGCCTGTGCCCCCATGCCATAGCCTGCACGTCCTCTCTGCCTCTGTAAGTTTCCACCTGAGCATCTCCAAACCCTAGACCAGCATGATGCCTGGCCAGAAGCCTGGCTCTCCAGGGAAAGCAGAGACAGCCATGGACCAGGCAGAGGGCCAGTGCCTGTGCCCCCATGTTATGGCCTCCACGTCCTCCTCTCTGCCTCTGTAAGTTTCCACCTGAGCATCTCCAAACCCCAGACCAGCATGACGCCCCGGCCAGAAGCCTGGCTCTCCTGGTATTTCTTATCTCTTGCAGACCAGTTCCTATACTCTGGAGCAATTGTCCATGAGCCCAGAAGGCCCAAATCACACTGGACTGTAGGGAGTGGGTGAGGCTCCGGGAAGCTTTTGTTATTAGAGGGACTTTCTTTTTCTGGAACTTCATGTTTCCAGTGGAAAAAACACAAGCTCAAAATCTCTGAGTCATCGGAGTAGTTAAATCCCCATCTTGACCTCAGAGACCCAGACAGGTGACGAGCAGAACTGGCCCCCATGCATCAGAAGGTACAGCCCCCGCCCCCAGGCCTACCCTGCATCTCAAATCCCACATGAAAGAGTGGCCACGTGCAGAGCTTTTCCACCTGTTCAAATTTGGGGGCCTAATCTAAACTACAGCGTGCAATGGGCTTTGGCAAAATAGAGTTGTCCCTATACAAGATTTTTAAGAATAAAAGGAAAACAATATTTTTCAAATCACGCATTTAAGGATGAGTGATCGTTTCTTAGTAATAATGATAGTCTGAATAACAATGTGCTGAAGGTCAAAGCTGCATTCCCTGCCCCTGAAGCCCTGTGGTGAGGTTTTTACCTTCCTCTGAGGCTCTTTTGATCTCATGCTCTCTTCACATCTCCCACGTGATTAGCTGCTCATTCTCAACACATCTTCTGTGTTATCTCTTAATTGTGGGCTTAATTTGCAGCCAGGGTGAAGATTAGAAGCCTGCTGATGTCAGGGTATCTCCCCAGCTTCCCACGCTGGCATTCTCCCAGGTGAGGCTCTCTCGCCTTGCTCACCTGGACTTCAGTGCTGTGGCCGCTCTCCCTCCTCACCCCAGCCATGGCAATCACCAGGCCGGGGGCTGCCCCTCCATTAGAGCTCTGATCCCTTAACACCAATCCGTCTCTACCCAGCTACAGAAGTGCAGGTTCCTCATTAGCACCCCAGAACTGTGGAGCACACAGCTCCTTGCTGCCTTCCAGCACTACTCCGCCCCAGTTTCCCCCAGCCAGATGGGCTGCTCACCCTTCCCCCGACATGGCTGCTGAGCCTTTGCTCCCTCCGTGCCTCTGCATTTAGTGCTCTTTCCTTGGCTCCCCTTGTTAAGGATCCTGTGGTTCTTTAGCCCAGCATAAGCACTTGAAGCACCTAGGGCATTTTTTAAACAGGTGCATGCCCCACATCAAGTCTGTCCTGCTGAAGCAATACCTCTGGTCAGGGGTGGGGGACAGAACTGAGATTCATAAAAACTTTCCCTGGTGATCTTAGGCTCAGCAGTGGAGACCTACTGCTAGAAGCCCTTCAGAGGCACTTCCGGGCACTCTTTCTCCGCTGAGCCTTCCCGGAGCTTCACCCACTGCCCTACAGTCCCGTGTAATTTGGGCCTTCTTGGCCCATGGACACAGCTGTGCTAGCTCCTTCTCACCTTCCCATGGTCAATCTCAGACTCTGTCTGGGTTTTGTCAGATTCCTGCAGCTGGACTGCAACCTTTCAGGTAGGGGCTTGCTTTCACCTCCGTACCTGTGACTCGAGCACAGGTTGCAGCCAGGGGCAGGTCCCCGAAACTTCTGTGCAGTCAAGCATGGAGACTGGATCCATCTGCACACTGCAGGGGTGGCTCCCTAACATGATCTGCAGGGCTTATTTCCCATCCACTGCCTCCTTTCAGGTGTCAGTTAAAAGCATTGCCAAGCTTCATTTCCATCGAGGGGATCACTGAATGTGTTTCCTCTGCATAAGCATACAGTGCAATGCACAGCAATAGTGATCTCCCAAATTAGAACACTTGCTGAGGTGTGTCTGAGGGTAAATGTGGAAAGCCTGACAGACCTGGAAGAGCTTGGTGATCTGGAGGAGTGTGTGTGAGTGGAAGAGATACAGTTTGCTGTAAGCAGAGATGAGACCATGGAGGGCCTGGCACCACTTTAGGGATTCCGGCCTTTATTTTCAAGCCTCTCTGGAGCTGTGGAAGAAGGCTCAGTTATGAATCTCAGGAGAGTCCTCGAGGAACACTCAGAGAATGATATTGACAGCTGGGGAGCAGCGAGGAAGCTGTTGTAGGCATCCACGTGGAAGTCAATTGACCTGAACAGGGAGAGTGGCCCAGAAACAGAAGCAAGCTGATTCTCAGGACATGCTTGCATTGGTCAAGAGCAGGGAGACTGTCGGCTTCCAGTCTTTTGGCCTGGTCAGCTGTCTAGATGATGAAGGCATTCACTGAGGGCGACGGGCTGGAGGACAAGCAGAACCTGGGGAGTGGTTCACCTTTCATGCCCGTGGGACATCCGGCCGCAGACACCAGAGGCAAGTCAGTGCCACAGGTCTAGAGCTCAGGGCTAGGTTGTGGGTTTGGGTTTAGATCTGGGAGCCATGACCTATGGGGTGTCCTGGAGACACACGAGAGGATATGACCACCCCAGGGAGAGGGCAGGGGAGAAAGAAGGAAGCCGAGGGTACAGCTGAGGGAATGCCAATGTCGCAGGAACAGGTGTTCAGAAAGAAATTGCTCCGTGACGCTTTTTGCAGCTCAGTGAGGAAGACTATTCAGGGCCATCTCCATAGGGTTAGGGACTACTGTAACAGGGTCCTGCAGCGCGGGAGAGAGACCGGACTCAACTCTTCATACAGCCTGGGCAAGTGGGGATTTATAGTAAAGGAGCAGGTTTGGGTCAGTGGATGGAAAATGGCTGAGGAGACATCAGGGGTCAGGGGAATTCTGACTGAACTGACCTCACAGGATTCTTGCTAAAGGCAGGGCAGGGTGATCAGACAGCCCCGGGGATGGTGAAAAATGAGGAGCCCAATCGGGTATGGAGGGTGATGATGTATCAAAGGAGGAAGGTTCTGGCTAAGCTAGCCTAGCAATGTTCTTTGCTAAAGCTGGATTTTATGAGGAAGTGCACGGATGGGCTTAGGGGAAGGCCCGGGAGCCTGGCTAAAGCTTGGCCAAGCCAAGAATCTCTGTCCCAGGAGTCTGAGGAGGGCAATTCTCCGACCTGGGAAGGCCCTGCCCAGGGTCTCCAAGGGGAGTGAGGGTCAGCCAGGCTGGGCTGCCAGAAAGGCAGGAGTGATGTAAAGTCCCGGCTAGTCTGCACTTGGCTGGTTTCACAGCCGCTGCACTGTTTCCGCAGATCTCGGCAACTGGGAAATTAAGGCTTCCCCGGATGGCTCCTGTCCCTTTAACTCCAATCAGGTTACAGCCACCTCCACCAGGTTAGGGATCTGTCAGCTACACCATCCCACAGCCCACCGAACTTTTTCAAGAGAAGATCGAGCCATTTGGTAATTAATTAGCCGTGTGTTTATTCTCTGCCCCCTCTCCCCTCGCCAGGCTGTGGGAGCTGGAAAACAACAGCCCTGTCCGTTGGCATCCACTGTATCCCAGCACCCACTCTATCCCAGCACCCGCTCTATCCCAGCACCCACTGTATCCCAGCACCCACTTCATCCCAGCACCCACTCTATCCCAGCACCCACTCTATCCCAGCACCCACTTCATCCCAGCACCCACTCTATCCCAGCACCCGCTCTATCCCAGCACCCACTTCATCCCAGCACCCGCTCTATCCCAGCACCCACTGTATCCCAGCACCCACTCTATCCCAGCACCCGCTCTATCCCAGCACCCGCTCTATCCCAGCACCCACTGTATCCCAGCACCCACTGTATCCCAGCACCCGCTCTATCCCAGCACCCGCTCTATCCCAGCACCCACTGTATCCCAGCACCCACTGTATCCCAGCACCCGCTCTATCCCAGCACCCACTGTATCCCAGCACCCACTTCATCCCAGCACCCGCTCTATCCCAGCACCCACTTCATCCCAGCACCCGCTCTATCCCAGCACCCACTTCATCCCAGCACCCGCTCTATCCCAGCACCCACTGTATCCCAGCACCCGCTCTATCCCAGCACCCACTCTATCCCAGCACCCACTCTATCCCAGCACCCGCTCTATCCCAGCACCCACTGTATCCCAGCACCCACTCTATCCCAGCACCCACTCTATCCCAGCACCCGCTCTATCCCAGCACCCGCTCTATCCCAGCACCTGCTCTATCCCAGCACCCACTCTATCCCAGCACCCACTCTATCCCAGCACCCACTCTATCCCAGCCCCTGATACATAGACACTTGTGGAAGGAAGAAGGGAGGAAGGAAAGAGGTCAAGAGACAAAGGGAAGAGAAGGAAGACAGCACTCTGCATCTGTTCCAGTCTCTGGAGGAGCAAACAGCAGCAGTGAGCCCGGTCCAGGCTGCCCGTGTGGACGCGCACCAGTGAGCAGAGCCGGAATCTTTCCAGGCCTCTCATCTCATTTGCACCCTGATGTGCCCATCCGCTGGAGGTGGCCCTACTAAGCGTCAGCTATGCACCAGCCCCACAATCATGCTTTGACCTGTCATTCAGTCTCCACCACAGCCTTACCACTTAGATCACCTTCGGATCACTCTACAGAAAAACGAGCCTCTGAGAGCTTAACTTGCCCAGAATATTTCTGGCCTCATCCAAATGTCAGTGTTTTTTGCTGTACACAGTTGAGTTGCCAGATAAAACACAGAACCTTCAGTTATATATGAATTTCAGATCAACAATAAATACTTTTTAGTATAAGTATGTTCTAAATATCACATGGAACTTATACTAAAAATAAAAACATCTCTATTTCATCAGAAATTCAAGTTTAGCTGGGCTTCTTTATTTGCTAAATCTCCTACTATTTGATCAATCACAGTACCACACTGAAGTACACAGGCCAGAGAGGTATGCATGTTCAGTTCCTCAGACAGCTACTGACATACAAATGGCACCTTCTTCCCTGCCTGAGCCTCCAGAGACATCCAAGACCCTGCGGTTGGCCAGCTGCAGGGCCAAGTACAGTTCTAAGGGAATTTCATTTCCCCTGGAAACTAAGGCGCTTTCTTCCTCCCTTGGCTCTTAGAAGTACCACCCCACGGCCTCGTCCCTGTTCCTGTGACTGACTGCCAATCACCTTTACCAACCCACCCGCCCTATAATTCTGACATGAGTGTCACATTCCCTTGGAGCCACCTGGAAATGTCTGGAAATACCTTTGCCCTAGAGAGTAGTGGTATCACCTAATAGGAGTTATTTGTTTGCTGGTTTGTTTATTTCTTCCTACTTTCCATTTTAATCACCTTTTTATATCAGTCCCAAAGCTTTTGCTTGTTCTTATTATCATGAAACCTTCTTTCTTACCTTTTCTCTATTAGAATTCCTGCAGGCATTTGTTTTATTATCATCCTTTATTCTGTATGTTAAATATATTATATGTGCTCTTTTACTCTTATTCGTGAAAATTAATTAGAACAAATACACAAGCCAGAAACACACTTGTGAGTCCAAGACTTTTGTGATTTATTTGCCATCCCATCCGAAGGCATCTTTGCTTCTATTATCAAATGGTTGCTGAACTTCCTGTGTCTGAGAAGAAACTGGCTTGAGAAAACCAGTGCTTCATTTCTCAGATTCTATTTGATGCAAGAATAGGAGAAACACTGTCAGCCACAAGATCGACAACCTAATCTTTCACTCAACTTGTTGTTGATTAAGACTGTCTTTTACATTAAGTACTGGCCGGGCGCTGTGGCTCACCCCTGTAATCCCAGCACTTGTGGAGACTGAGGTGGACGGATCACAAGGTCAGGAGATCGAGATCATCCTGGCTAACATGGTGAAATCCCGTCTCTACTAAAAAAATACAAAAAAAATTAGCCCAGTGTGGTGGCACATGCCTGTAGTCCCAGCTACTTGGGAGGCTGAGGCAGGAGAATCACTTGAACCCGGGAGGCAGAGGTTGCCGTGAGCCGAGATCACACCACTGCACTCCAGCCTGGGTGACAGAGCGAGACTCCATCTCAAAAAAAAAATTAAGCACCATTTTTAAAAAACAGGGTGGCAGCGAATAAAGCAAATCTCACACAAGATTGTACGTCTCTCTCATCCTCCGACCTCTATGTAACTCTGGAGTTTCAGTAACTGTTTGATGGAAACATGGGGCTGGGTTGTTCTGGGGCAGGCACTGCCTTCTGTGGCCTGTTCAAAAGTCACTTGTGTAGAGAATGTGACTCCTGCCCCGAAGCATCCTATGTCCAGGGATTTTTTCCTTTATCCTAATATGTTACTGAAGCTCTAAGTACCAACGCTGACACCTTCAATGAAACCTTTTAACATTGGACAGTGTGGTGGTTTAAGAGGACATGTGGGGTCAAACGACAGCTCAGCCACTTCCTGGCTGTGTGAAAAACTGAATGGTTTGTATCTGTGTCCCCACACAAATCTCATCTCGAATTGGAATTCCCACATGTGGAGGGAGGGACCTGTAATACCCATGTGTTAAGGGAGGGAGGTGATTGGATCATGGGGGCAGCTCCCCCCCACCCATGCCGTTCTCATAATAGTGAGTGAGTTCTCATGAGATCTAATGGCTTCATAAGTGTTCAGAATCTCCTCCTTCGTTTTTCTCTCTCCTGTCACCTTGTGAAGAAGGTGCCTACTTCCCCTTCCACCATGACTGTAAGTTTCCTGAGGCCTCCCCAAACATGCAGCACTATGAGTCAATCAAACCTCTTTCCTTTATAAATTACCCAGTTTCAGGGATGTTCTTTACAGCAATGTGAAAACAAACTAATACACCAACCTTGGGCAAATTATGTAATTGTGCCTGGTCCCCTCATTGGATGAAATAAGGCCATTAAGACAGAAGTGAGGATTCAAAGAAAGAAGATACACAGAACACTTGGAGTGATGCCTGGCAGATGAGATGTTTAATGAATGTCCATCTTTTTTTTTTTTATCAGAATAATCTCAATCCAATCCTGCTTTCTTCATTATGTAACTCAAACTTTATGAAAAGACATTTAAAGTTAATTTTTCTAGGCCGATATTTTCCTATTGAGGTGATAGGTGTTTTTCCTAGCATAAATTAGTAGCCTAATTGCCCCTACAGCCATATAAATTAAATCATATTAAAATTGGGTGAATAGAATGAAAGAGAACAAACTGAGATTCAAATACATATGTTCTAGGTCTCAACTCTGATAATAACCAGCCTTGGGTCCTCACGCAACCTACTTCGTTTCCTTAGCACTCTCCTTAAGTATATGCAATAAGAAATCACCTTTGCAACTCTTTCCAGCATTAAAATTAAATTCTCTGAAGTGTCAGGATAGGCAGACTATAACTACTCCGTATTTGTTAAGAAAAGATTGTGAGTAATGCAGAGAATGTACACTAAAGAGATTACCTCCATCGAGACCACATTGTTTTTAAAAATAAAAACAAAACTCTGTAATTAGAAACTTAAAGTGGTGACTAAATTGCTCAAAACAACTGGAGAACCACAGGAATGTGTCTGGGAAGCTTGTCCATCAGGTAGTTCATGTTATTTTCATGCCCACATCTAGTAATGCCCACTAGTCTAGTAAGGTCTGGCTGCTGGTGGAAACAGGAGTCAGGGACTCCCCCTGAAACTTATCCTGGGGAATAAAACATCTAAATTTCCACTGGATTTAATGCTGTGTCCCCAACTCCATGTCCAGTGACATCACATAGATAGCTTGAAGTTGACCAGCATTTACACCATAGAAATCCACGAACACCACAACTCAGGGTGTTTCACCTCCACCCATGCCCCAGAGCTGGTTGTTAAACATTTCCCAGCACACCTTATTGGATGTTCAGTTTGGTCCAACTGAACTGTACAAGTTCAAACCACAAACTGGAACCCATCTTGAATTGGTCTTCCTCTTCATGAGATCCTTTATAGGGACTGACTGCTAAATTGAGATAGCACTTATTCTACCTCTCTCAAAATATGTATAAATTATATACAATACATACGGATGACAGATGTATTGTGTATATGTGTGTATGAACATATATTGGAAATTAATAACTATTTTATAGAAGAACAAAGGCCTGGTTTGAAGTGAGAACCAGGACAAATAAATAAAAGATGCTTACTTCAGAGCATATTCAGTTATCTTGCCTATTATATGCTTTGCCTGGCCTCATGCTTAAATCTCTACCTTTCCCTCCATTATTGGCTGATTGGTTTGTTCATTCTTCCTCTCTTTCTTCCTTTCACATTCACTCTCCTCCTTGTTCTGGGAAGAATTTATGATGCATATCTGTATGTTACCTTGTTATAATGTTGATGCACAAGGCTAGCCTTTAAACATGGACAGAACACATGAGCAGAGAGGTAGCAGGGGGCGGGCAGAGATTTCAGACAAAGGCAACAAGATGAAAGCAGGAATCACAACATTAATTTCAAGAAAGAAGTAGTTTAAAGGTATTTAAAGGGCTTTTTAAAACATTAAGCAAGATTAAGACTATATAACAGTCACAAACATGTGTTTCCCCCCAAAAAAAAATTATAGAAGAATTTAACACACTCCTCAGAGAATTAGACATCAATTTTAAAAGGACAAGATAGTATCTCATCATAATGCAATAAAATTAGAAAAATACAATAAAAAGAACAGCAAAAATAGTTTAATTACTTAGGAACCAAAATATATCTTTCTACATAATCATGTTAATAAAATTAGAACTTGAACTTAAAATTAAATACATGTAGAAAGCAATCCAATAATTGCTCTCTAGATATATTTATATGTAGAGATATAGCTAAAGCAGTACTAACTACTTGATCTTAAGAAATTAGAAAAAAGGCTATGAAAATAAAGCCAAAATTTTTTAAAAGTAGAGAGAATCAATAAAGACATTTGCTGAAATTAATAAAAATAAGAAAAAAGTAGTAGAAAATATAAATTTTAAAGGTGATTATTTGGAAAGAATTAAAATAGGTCTCCATGGGTGTGATGGAACATAAACAGGGGGAGCATAAACAGGGGGAGCATAAACAGGGGGAGCATACAGGGGGAGCATACAGGGGGAGCATAAACAGGGGGAGCATACAGGGGGAGCATAAACAGGGGGAGCATAAACAGTGGGAGCATAAACAGGGGGAGCATACAGGGGGAGCATAAACAGGGGGAGCATACAGGGGGAGCATAAACAGGGGGAGCATAAACAGGGGGAGCATAAACAGGGGGAGCATACAGGGAAGAAAAAATACGAATATGGAAGGGATTATAAGAATAATAAGTCAGTAGCATGTGTAACTCTGAGGCAATGAAGTTGAAATCTACAAAAAAATTGTAATTTTCTAGCAAATACAAAATGCCAACATCTCCCCATGAATGAAGAAAAAATTTTAATATATTACTACCATAGGAGACATTTAAAGAATGATTAAAGACCTACCATTGAAAAAGATCCCAGAGTCAGCTGGCTTCAAAGCTAAGTCCTACTAATATTTCTTTACGGTTAATTTTAACGTAATACGTATTTGTGTATGAGAATTTCCCCAACTCATTCTCTAAAATTAATGTGTTCTTAATAACAAAACTTGATAAAAAAATTAGTGTAGTACCTAAGATAACCCTATAAATAAATATCTTTTATGAGTAAAAACTGTGCTAAAATTCTGAATAAAAAATTAACATGAAATTCAGCATCTAAAAAGAACAGAGTTTCATCAAGTCAGCTTTACACCAAGAATGGCCCGGTGCTCACTATGAGAAAACATATCAACATAATTTATTATATCCACAAGAAGAAGAATCATATAAACATACCAACTGAGACCAGAAGAACTTTTATAAAACTGAAACAGCTGCTTCTACCAAAGCCTCAGTTAAATGGAAATAGAAACGGAATATTTTATATATAATAGAGGATCCTTACCCAAATCCAACTACCACCATGATTGTAAGTGGAAAAATGCTAAAAGCTAAAGTCATTTCCACTAAAATCAGGAACAGGCAGGGGTTCCCCCATCACCAGTGCTATTCAGCATAGTTTTAGCAGTCTGGAAAATGACATAAGGAAAGAAAACAGTACATTTAAGCATTGGAAGAGTATAGATACCTTTTTTTTCGCTAGTAATACGATTTTATACACATAAAATTCAGCACTTAAAGGGGGGGGTGGGGAATGCCATTAGAATTCATTGAAGAATTTGGTAAGGATCTATGTACACAATAAACATATGAAAATCATTAACATTTTTTCTATACTGATATTAAAGATCTAAAAATTGATATTAGGGAAATGCTAATTCATAACAGGGAATAAGTCTATAAAAGAAGACAAAATCTGATAGGAAATGTTGTTCAGGGTATGTGTAGAAAACTGTAAAATCTTATTGAAGGAAGAAGGCTTAATATTATAAAATGTCAATATTTCTAAAAATTAATATATAATTTCAATTTAATCCTAGTGGATTCAGGGGAAATGTGAGTTGAATACAGTTATCTTAAAGTTCATATGGAAAAGTAAGTGCCCAAAGATAACAAAGATAAAAGGTTTTAGGACTTGGGGGGTGAAGGGGTTGCCTTGCCAGCTACTAAGACATACAAGAAAGTCACTATAAATGATATTGACATAGAGAAAGGCAAACAGGCCAATGAGACAAAACAGAAAATCCAGAAACAGATCTAGAGAAAGGCAAACAGGCCAATGAGACAAAACAGAAAATCCAGAAACAGATCTAGAGAAAGGCAAACAGGCCAATGAGACAAAACAGAGAATCCAGAAACAGATCTAGATTTACATGAGAGTGTAATAAATGGTACAGTTGGTATTTTAGTTTGGTGGGTAGAGTTTATCAAATGAATGATGTTGGCACAAATGGCTCTCCATCTGGAACAAAAGAGAATTGAAGCACCACCCACACTACATGGAAAACTAACACTAAAGGAAGTAAAGGTTTAAGTATTAAAAAAAAAGTAATTAACAATAACAGTAATTTAGAGTAAATTTTAGGAGAATATACATATGACCTAGAGAATAGGTAGATCTTTTAACAAACAAGCAAGCAAAACAGAAGAAAAGAAAAAAAGGTGGTAGGAGCTCAGAAGGTATACAGAAATACACATATATTTATTTATAGAGGATGTATTTATATAGAGAGTATAATTATATATATACTTGATTGCCTACAGAAAAAAATTAAATATCTAAGATAAAAATATAGTGCTAATAAAATCAAAAGAAAAATGATACACTGGGTACAAATATCTGTACTGCACATTTTAAAGGGAATTATCTGTAGATAAAGGTAATTGTCCATAATATACACAGAGCTTTCACAGATTGTTAAAGACATACAACCTAAAAGTAAAATGGGCAAAAGAAATGAAGTGATTTGCAGAACATACCCAAATGGTCAGCAGACATATAAAAAAATGCTCAGCTCCATTGGTACTTAGGAAAATGAAAATGAGTAACTCTCAACAAGGAAAAACATTTGAGCTTGGTGACACTGCACCAGCAGGGAAGCTGGTTAGGAGCACTCACAGACTTCTGCTGGAAATGTCAGCAGCGGCTGCCTTGCTGCAAAAGCATGACAACATCTATTCAAACAAGCCTAGAGAAATACATGCTGTTCAACCTAGCAAGCCCACTGCCAAAAATCTAGTCTATGAAAATAAAAGCATCATGGGTCAAAGATTTTCACATCATAGCAATCGCATAGTAGCCAAAAAGTTTTGAAAGAAAGAGAGGACTAAATAAATATCAAAATAGATACTTGAATAAATTTTATAAATGCATACATTGAAATATTATATAGTCACTAAAAAGAGTGAGTTGTATAGCAGCTTTCTCTATAATAGCACCAATCTGAAAACAGCCCAGGTGTCTATCAATGAGAGAATGAACAAACTAAGTGTGGTATATTCATAAAATGGAATACTGCTCAAGGGGAGAAAAAGCTGGGAAGAAACCCTGATATTGTAAGGACTTCATATATATCATGACTTCATATATGATATATATGAAGTTTTAGACGCAGCAAAACTAATCTATGGTAGGAAACATCAGAATACAGTTTGTCCCTGGGTGGGGGAATTGGGAATTCATTGGGTGGGGGGGCACAAGGGTACCTTTTGGGGTTATAGTGTTGCTCTGTATCTCAATAGGGATTTCGGTTACACAAATGTATGCCATCATCCAAACTCATCAAATAATTTGCTCAATATTAGTGCTTTAGAATGTAAATAAAATTTACCTTGAAGGAAAAAAATATTGAACACTAGCTAATGGCATGTGTGCAAAGTGTTTAGGGGGAAGTATGCTGAGAAGTCTGCAACTTTCCTTGAAATACATTCCCCCAAAATAAGATGGATTGGATGGTTACAGAGATGGATAGATGGAAAATAAGTATAAGTAATAGGTTAATGGTAGAATCGAGGTAGTGGGCATAAGGGTGTTTTCTGTAAAATATCTTCTTTTCTGTATGTTTAACACGCATCATCTATGCTTCATTTGGCATAGATCTAACAGAAAAAGAATCTGCTAGATCTATGCCAAAAGGCTCGAGGAGTATCTATAATGAGATATGCAAGTCCTAGCAAAAGTGCATGGAATAAGGATTCTATTTTTTTAGAATAAACAATGACAAAAATACAATCATGTATGTGTGTGGGTAGCTACCCAAATAACCCCATATAGTTCTATGACCATGAAGATAATTATATAAAGAGCCTGGGGGATGGAGGTGGAGAAGCGCGAGGTGAAAGGTGAGGGTGAATATACTCATGCACACAAAGAGATGCAAGAAGCATGGGCCTCAACACAGCATCAACAGACAGGGCTAGCACAGTTCCAGATCACTGTAATTTCTTTACAATTTTCTATACTGTTTAAAAGGTCTTTCTACAATAATCATTTATCATTTATGTAATCAAAAAGTTATTTTTATTATTTTAGTTTACATGCCTTTGTGGAATATGAGTGTGTGTGTGTGTGTGTGTGTGGTGTGTGTGTGTGTATTTGGGAAAAGGGTTTAATATCTCTTATTGATCTTACTGTCAACTGATGCGTTTATTCAATTGAATGGTGGCAGGCTTATTATCTACTGCTACACATGCTGTGAGAACAGAAATCGTTGTTTATCAAAGCCTGGGATTGCCATAAAATTAACTTTTTGTTTCTCTTCAAATATGATAAAACACGGCAACAATAAAACACTCTCATCAAATGAAAAAAAAAGCTATTTTTAATTTGGATCAACATGAAAACAAACAAAAGAGAATTTTATATTCTTGTTCTTAAAGGGACCTGGGAAATCATCAGGACCCCAGAAAACCGGGAACCACTCCTGCCCACAAGACCTAGAGAAGTTTCTTGTCTTCTCAGCTCCATGCTGCAACTGGCATGAATTCCACTCTGGAAACAGATACATTCACCACCAAGGTTTGCTTTCCATGTTGTCCAATAAGCCAGAACTGGAACAACTAAGAAGGCTGTAGACAGCCAGCTTTGTCAACCACCCAAGGACATTTGCAAGCCTGGAGGTTCAATAGAATTTACAGCTACAGTCTGAGGAGCTCATCCTGCAGGCCTGGCCTGAGGCCATCTTACTCTTAGACTCGGTTTCTTGAAGAGCTCATCGGGCAGGCTGCTGCACAGCTCATGGTGTGACTGTCCCCAGCTGTATCCCTCAGGTCATTGCAAGTGAAAGAGCATAAAAGAGAGTGCAGGGGCCAGGCATGGTGGCTCACAACTGAAATCCCAAAACTTTGGGAGGCAGAGGCACAGGACGGCCTGAGCCAGCAGTTCAAGACCAGCCTGGGAACATGGTGAGACCCTGTCTCTACAAAAAGAAAAAAAAAATAGCTTGGCATGATGGCTTGCACCTGTATTCCCAGCTACTTGGGAGGCTGAGGTGGGAGGATGACTTGAGCCCAGGAAGTTGAGGCTGCAGTGAGCTGTGAGGGCACCACTATACTCCAACCTGGGCAACAGAACAAGACCTTGTCTCAATTTTAAAAAGAAGAGGGTGCAAGGTGGCCTTTTGACAAGGGACTGATCCCGAAAGGAGCCTATAAGGGTTATGGGGCATGGAACGGTGCTGACGTGTGGGCACAGAACAGAGCTCTTCTACCACTCCTGGGCCAAAGGGCAAGGGCAGGCAGCCGTTCCCGTGCCTGGGGATGGAGGGCTCCAGGAGGGACCTTCCCCAACCAGAGCTGAGACCGGGCTCTGAGGGAAGCCGCCCACTCAGGCCCCTCTGGGAGACAGCAGGGTCCGTTTAACCCCAGCCTGACCTCCTTGTTCAACACCATCACCCGCCCCAGCTCCTACTTGGCCAAACTCACACTGGCACAGAGCGCAGTGGGGAAGGCTGGAGCGAAAACTGGAGAGGCCAAGGAAGGCTTCCAGTGCTTCAGGCTTCTAGGATCTACACCAGCAGCAGCGGTAGCAGCCTACCCAGGTCCTGCTTGCATCCGCCTGCAACGTGGAGTGAGATTCTAACCAGTTGAGCAGCTGCTCCCTCTTCCCTCCCAAACCCAAGAGACACACAGGGAAGTCAAAGTAATCCACAGAAACACGCATGGATCTTGAGTCAGAAGAATGCACCTTGCTTTCCTGCTCTCCTGCCTCTTTGTGAATGCCTAGCTCTTCTGAAGTGGCCCAGTGGGTTAGAGTGAGAAGAATGAGGCCAACAGCAAAGTCCGAGGACGACGAATTCTCAGGGCAGCACAAAGGGGGAGCAACTTCCCCTCTGTACCTTGCCTGCCTCACTCTGGCCCTGGCCCTGTCCAAGAGCAAGACATAAATACACCAACACACTATTTGGGTATACAGTAAGCTCAGTCTGTAAACAACCGCTCTTATGCCAGGTGACATCCTGACATGTATGTCACTGTGACAGCTGACAATGAAGTGGCGTTTTTTTTTCAGCACCTCTCTATAAAAAGCTGCCTCACCTGGGCAACCTGAGTGCCAGTTGATCTGAGCTGAACAAGCTCAGTAATTTAAAACAAATGTCTCAAATGCCATTCATATCTTTCCCTTGAAATGGAAGTGCAGCCAGAAACACTTCCTACTTAGAGCGTCTAAGAAACAGCCTGGAGAATTGAAGCTGTTCTTCCTGCTATTGTGTGTAGTAGAGGAGTGAAGAACCTGGTCAGGAGGCAATTGCTCGATGCCACTGGCTGTGTGACCTTGGACCAGTGACTTAACTGATCTGAACCTCGACCTCATCTTTAAAATGGAGATAACAACGGAGTTGGCCTAGGAGGGTAATTGAGAGGTTTAAATGAGATAGTGTAAATAATGCCTGGCACATGAGAATCAACCAGTGTCAGCGATTTTATTGTTGCTATTTATTATTGCATGATTTTTTAAAAAGATATTTTTGTAATTTTTTAAAAATGTAAACTGGCTATCTAGATAATACGTTTGCATTCCAATTAATTACTGCCAGGAGAATGAAAGTCCTGTTTAAACTAACTTTGGCTTATTGGATGGGATGTTTTCTGCTATGATTAACAGACAAGAAAAAAATACATATATATAACAACACACTCATCCATGGTGTTTCTAAAGAAAATATCATTTCTTAACACGAAAAATGGTATTTATAGCAACTTAGTTTTTTGTTTTACTGTACCAGTTGTGTGAGAATTTTCTTAAAAACTTCCTAAGCCTGAGTCTCATAGCCTTGTCACTAATTAACTGTTCCACTCATTTAAACATTTGCTTGCCTTTGAACCTGGGCCCTATGGACCCCTGGTTGCTGAAGACTGGGCCTGTCTGTCCAGCCTGCTTCTCTTTGCGGCTATGTTGAATTCTCTGTCCCAGTGGGAGCTGAACCGGACTCCATTCTGTATCTCCAAAGCCCACAGGGTTTCTGATCCAGTAAATGTTTGTAAATTTTAAATGACAACCTCCTTGTTATTTTCTGATCAGTAACTGCTCTTGATTTATGCCTTTGCAGCCATCTGGAATGCTCAGCCTGAGACCACACTCTCTCCGCATGCAAAACATCCCCATCGGCTTCTCACACTTCAGGGACTGACTTTACCATCTGCCTTCAAGAGAAACTAGCATAACGGGCTAAACCATTTTTATGGACCACATAATGTCCTCTGATAGAATGTTCTAAACAAGGGTATTGTCATACTCTTGCAAAGCAGGGTGGGGAAGTCCTCCAAGGGCCAGGACTTGGAGCACACCCATGTTAGTGGTTTGGGGAGAGGTGTCCAGGGAGAGGTACATCCTGCCTCAAGTGGAGGTGTACACCTGTCCCATCGGCAGGCTGTGGGGCTGGGCTTCAGGGCCCGGAATCTCACATCTGAAAGGGAGATTAGTAAGAGTAAAGCCTCAATCCTAAAACCGGCTGGGTCCTTGGAAGTTTCTAAAGGTGGATTCAGTCACAGGGCCCAAGTCGCAGTCCTGTCATTAGAACTGGGACTCTGTGGAACCAAGGTGAAGGTCTGCCCACCAGAACTGGAATATAAAGTCATATCTGCCAACTCCAGGGTGACGTGACCTCGAGTCACAGAGTGTCGACTTCACCCGTATTTTAAGTCAGAAATTCCAAACACTCCCAATACATTTGATGAAAACATACCCGACCATTTTTGCCTAATGAATTAACAGAGAAAGACTGATTTTCATTGAAATGATTTACGACATTCGAGTATCCCTTGTGCTGTACAGTTTGTAGCACAGCTTTATTCAATCCCTGCAAACACTCAGAGACACAAGAGTGTACAAATAAAGAACTGGAAACTCAAACTCAGCTCGTCAATGACTCCAACATGCATGTTTTTTTGTGACAGACACACTCTGAATTCAACCATTTCTGAACATGACACATGTCTCTTTCCACTTACATTTTAATCTCCCAGAGGGCGGGATTGTGTCTAAAACAGAAGAGCAGTCCTGGTAATGGCCAGTCTAGTTTTGACTGTAAAGTAGGCCTAATCAATGCATGTTAATTGACTAATATATTTGACCTTAAGGGTACCAACTCCACCCCCCGGGCTGTTGAAAATCCACGTATAACTTTTGATTCCCCAAAAACACAACTATTCATAGCCCACTGTTGACCAGAAGCCTTACTGATAACATAAACAGTTGACTAATATGTATTTTGTATGTTACATGTGTTGTATACTAAGACAATGTCATTTAGAAAATCATAAGAGGAGGAGGAGGAGGGGTGGCAGAGGTGGAAGAAAACCCACATGTAAGTGAGTGGTGCGGCTCAAACTTGTGTCCTTCAAGGGTCAAGTGGACATTAATCAAAGGTCACCAGAGTCCAGCAAAGCAATTCCAGTGGAAAGTATGACTCTCAGTGCTGAATCCTATACCCTTAGACGGGAGCACACACGTGCAGGAGGATTGCTCCATTTTCATCTAAGAAACACGGGGTTGTACAAACATGGGTGCTGCCACCCAAGCAAATCCACTGCTTCAGATGCCGTGAGCATGTGCAGTTTCACACTGAGTGTCTCGTAGCCATGATATAGGTGCACACTCACTGACTTCTGCACAGGAGTAGCTGAGGGCAGCCACAGGATGACAAGCATAGCTGGTAGCTGGGTCCATGCCAAAGTGCAGCTGGGCCTCATGTGAAGGGGAGGTCTTCGTGGGTGGGTCCAGACCCCCCACCCCACTTCAACCACAGCAAGCCTGCCATTTCTATTTCCAGCTGAGAGTGGACATCATCATGTCGTCACAATATGCCAGGCCTCTGTCCAGGGCTTTAGGGCTTTAGAAGTATTCATTTAGTGCTTACCACAATCCTATGAGATAGACACAATTATTCTTCTCATTTAGAACTGAAAAATTTAAATCTTAGAGAACCTTTGAAATGTGCTTCTCAGAACAAGCACAGTGGCAGACCTGGGTGATTTACCCAAGACATTTATACATAAAATGCCTTCCAATTCCCATTGGGCAAAACTCTTTATTTGATGCCATTTAAAACCTTATTATGTTAAATTCTCTAACCAGAAGCTACAGATAAGGGTCGTCCAAAAATTTCTCCACTTGGCCTTTTAAAGTAAGTAAATAAATAGAGATGGTAAATTCATGCTGAATATTATAACACTGACTCCAGAAGACTGAATTTGAAAAGACATTACTAGCATATTTTAGAATAAAATGATACATATTTTCAACAGTTTTACGGAATTTGTAGAGTGGCACTGGAGATAGGATAGAGCAGTGGTTCTCAAGCAGGGGACAGATTCAGCCCCCATGGGATATGCGGCAATGTCTGGAGGCATTTCGTGTTGCCACAACTGAGGAGGGGGTGCCGCTGGCTCATGGTATGCAGAGGTCACAGATACTGTGAAGCATCTTACCATGCACAGCACAGCCCTCCCAACACAGATGTATCCAGTCCAAACGTCCACAATGTTGAGACATAGATGGGTCAGTCTGTAGGTATGAAGGTAGGGAGGTGGATGCATGGACGGATGGATGGATGCATGGATGGATGGATGGATGGATGGTAAGACAGATGGACAAGAATAGGCCCCGGAAGTTACTTTTGAGGCAAAGGCTGATTTAAAGTATTACAGTTATTCTAGTTTTGATGCGGTCTTGTCTTGGGGCTCCTGGTCAAATCGTTCCAACTTGATATCAGCATTATCAGTCCTGTTTAGGAGAAACTTATCAGTATATTGAGGACTGATGTGAAGTCTTACAGACACAGCAAGGAATCGCCATCATCCAATATACGAGAAGAGAGAGAAAAAATACAGAATATTGTTTCAAGGTTCTAAAACTACTCAGTTAGAAAAATAATGACACCATTCATGGAAATAAAGGCATTGGAAAAGGAACCGAACTGTGTGGGGAAAAAAGAGTCCAGTTGTGTTATGACACTTTGGATGTGCTGAGTTTGAAATGGCTGTGATGCATCCATTGGAGAGCCATCAGAATGGCTAAGGTAATTGGAGAGCCATCAGAATGCAGGGCTGGACACCGAATAGATCTGGAGATGAGCATTTGGTTTTAAAGTCTTGGCTCAAGCCTGGAGATGAAGGTTCCCTAAGAGCAAGAAAGTGGTCACACTGGAGTGATAACACTGACAGGGCACTGGGCTTCAGAGGACACCCCAGGGAAGAGCCAGGAGAAGGGGGAATCTGCAAAGAGATGGGGGAGGACCAGGAATGGCATGAGGGGCCCGGGAGGAGAGAGTTTACAGAAAAGGTGTGGTCATCAGAAGTGCTACAAGGACAGCCAGACAAAAATCACCATGGTTAAGGTCACCATGATTTGCAAAATGACCAGCAGGCTTCATACTTGCACAGATGCAGAGAGTTGGGAATAGATCCTAGAATAAAATGGAGAAACTCTAGGTAGACCACTTGTTAGAGAAGAACAATGAAGAAGAACAGATTTGGGGAGCATCTAGGCATTGGCTGGTTAAGCAAAAACGTTTTTTCCCTACAATGAGAGCTATCTAAATATGTTCTGGAAAAAAAAAAGATGGGAGGAATAGTTGATAAAGAAAAAGTAATGACAACAGAATCAACTGCTCTTATGAATAGAAGGAAAAAGGAAAGAATGGTTATAATCATTTGAAATTCTCAAGTAACAAGGAAAATTTTACTTTACCAGTGTGCCTTTGCCAAGAAGGATCAAATACTGAAATTTATTTTCTAACTTGCCTGAAACGATCAGAGTCTTTTGGATCTATTTCCAGTTGAAAAAACAAAATGCTAGGAAGCTAACTGGATGTCACCAAAGAAAACTCTCTTCATGTGCCTTGTATCAACATCTGTAAAAGTTGCTCCTACTTTCGTAGTCAGATTAGATTTTACAGCTTCCAGGAGAAACTTACGCAAGGTGTTTGGCATGAACTTGCCAATCCGTGCTTATATTTTAAAAGTAAGAGGAATGTATTAGCTTAGTAAATTTATTTTTATGCCAAAGGGGAAAATGGTAACATTGACCTGAAATGCTTCCGGTGGCTGATAATCTGTATAAAAGAAAAGTGATGCTATTCAGAGTTATAATGACTCTCAGTGCTAAGACCAGCAGAGTCACTTGCCTGCTGCTTTGGCAAGGCCTGGCCCTGAGTCCAATCACATAAACATGCTTTGTAAAACTTGTTACATTCTCAGGAAACCAAAATCCAACCACTGTAATTGCAGAAGTATTTTCCACATTTTTAACAAAATCCAGAAATCTGGGTCAAGGATGACCATCATCCAAATTTATGATGTCTACCTGAAATAAAACTTTGTGTCTAACCGTTTGTTTATACCCACCTTGTTTCAAAAAGGATTTAGTGGCAAATTTATTTTCTTTGTAAATATATAGCCTGTCTTAAAATTCATGCATCAAATATGACTGAAACATGAGTAGGCATGGCATAAATAAAGAACATTTGAATTTTCAAAGGCACAGCCTCCTTTGGAAAGAAGCATCTGTGGAAGGTAGAATTCATGTCTGAGAGCAAGACGTGGCCCTAGTGATCACCTTTTCCAATCACCACCCCCAGTTTGTACAAGATTAGCAATCTGAGGCCAGTATTGGTGAAGTGAGTTGCCTAAAGTATTCCTTTAATTCCAATTTTACTTTTCTTTTGTTTTTTATTTTTATTTTCATGTTTGTGGGTACACAGTAGGTATATATATTTATGGGGTACATGAGATGTTTGATACAGGAGTGCACTGTGAAATAAACACATCATGAAGAACCAGGTATTTACCTCCTCGAGCATTTATCAAGTGAGTTGCAAACAATCCAATTATGCTCTTTAACTCCGATTTTAAAAAGAACTGAGACCAGAGTTGTTAGTTTTCAATAGAATTTTCTTTCCACCTGAGAGTTAGCCTTATGGGTTGCATAAATTTCGTTAATCATAATGATAATGTTAAATCTTGGTTTTGTTGCTCTTGTTTGTCTAAAGTCATTTTGGGAGGATTGTTACTACTTTTGTAGCAATTATCAAAACTGTTGATTTCTCTCATGAGAGTAGGAGCAAGCTCATTTTCCACACTCCCCCCTGTGAGTGGGAGTGGAGAGCAGAGCGTTCTGGTTCCCTAGTGCTCCGCTGGAGGACAGGCTGGAGATGACAGACAGCCGGTAGTAAGCCCCTTCCCAGATGCCTGCAGAGCACAGCGAGCTGGGAATACAGGCGTGCAGGGCTCCATTCAGTTGAAATCCCAAGCATGCTGGTCATCACATAGAATCTGAAGGAGAAGGTGTGTGGGGAGTGACACCAACCGCAGGGGTCAGCATAGGCCCAGAAAGGAGACGTCTCAGCCTTACGTGGGCTCTTCACTGAGCCTAGATATCAGGCAGCTCAGGGAGGACCTCACCAGGAAAGTGTCAGGGCAAAGGAAATGGCATACAGTCCCATTACAGAGGCCTGGCAGTTTTCCACGGTGCTGTAAGAGAGCTATCAGTGGCACACGCATCTGCACTAAGCAATGCCAGCCGAATCAGCTGCCTAGAAACCGGCACCCACAAGACGCCCAACACAGTGGAGCTCTGAATGCCACTGACATAAGACGTCACCACTGAATAGTCCCCTAAAAACACAGACATTTTATTTCCTTTCCCCCAAGTTTCTTCTTTTTGAGGCTTGAATATCAAACGACAATGACTTTCATCACGTAGAATGACCTTCTCTTTTTTTGTTCAGCCAAGTAATGAAAAGATGAATGGTGTTCTTCACTATTTTCAAATAGTCTTAACATCTTAGAAAAATTATAAAACAACTTTTGTTACAGTGACTACCAGCAATTGCTCTAAGACTGGCCTCTGTCCAGCAATTGTACGACACTGGGTGTTTGGCAAGAATCTGCCATGCAGAAAATGGTTCTTAAAAAAAAAAAAAAAGCAATCCTACAAAATATGCAAATCACACTGGATTTCAACTTTAGACCTCTGACATTTAATAACACAAAAATAAGTTATGTCTTACCAATCTGACACTCCTCATTACTTGATTTTAGGCCCTTAATACAGATCAATTTTTATTAAAGAAAGGGCAGCATTTAGGAAAAGAAGTGGAACATGCTGAATTATCAACTACGTTTAATGACAAAGCTGCTTCCTAGGTTCAAGAAAATGTGTTAACTTGAGTTATACCAATTCTGTCAGTGCTTTATTGATAGACCTAGGCGGTAAAGATGTTTTGATGAATGTTATGATCACTTTAGAAATTGCACTCAAGCAAATGGTTACTTCCAAAGCATCCTTTCCAAATTGTGTCAAAAGGAAAGCTAGAGATGTTTATAGGTGCCTAATGGGAAACAAGGCTTTCGCGGTCGGATGGAACATTCTGTTTGATATTCTCCCTCTTGGAGATTTCTAAGATGCATTGACGTATCAAGGGACGATTTGACCACAGAACCCCATTTCCCTGAAATTTTTCCTAAGACTCCAGTGGGCCTTGGTTTCCCTGGACACCAGTTGTGAAGCATTATTCCGAAGTCTCTAGAACATTTCACTCCTTTAAGTGGTTTAAAGAGTCTACTTGTGTTTTGTTTTCACTAGCGGTTTAATTGATAAAGTATTTCCTCATACATAATCCTAAAGCAAACTTTGGCCAATGTCTTAGGGCCCGAACCAAGGAGGGTTTCATGAGGTACATAAGCCACCACAGAAATGGCACATACGCCCATAGTGGCACATTTATCTCCAAACACACCTCACTGCCTTTTTTACCTACGCATCCCCGACTGAGACACAGCCAAACACCCACACCTGGTCACTGGCAAGGGCTTGCACTTTCTGAAGCTTGACTTCATGCTCTCTCCCCTTCTTCACTCTTTCGTCATTCTCTACACCTCAACACCATCTCCTTCTTCTACTTGAAACATCTAGGTGGACCATGCCTGCTCACTTCCCTGGCCAAATCTGCTTTCAAGAAGAATCTAACATAGAAATCTCACTATGACTCAATTGTCCAAGGAAGCTTTAAATGTTATCTTTCCTAATGGTATTTTCTTTTTAAGAGGAACAATTACATCAATTCCTACTTAAAGAATATAGAGATTTTCTTCTTCTTCTTCTTCTTGTTATTATTATTTTGTAGAAATGGGATCTTGCTGTGTTGCCCAGGCTGGTCTCAAACTCCTGGGCTCAAGTGATCCTCCTACCTCAGCGTCTCAAAGCACTGGGATCACAGGAGTGAGCCGCTGTGCCTGGCCCAAGAATGCAGAGACTTTAAGCTAAAGGGAACACAAAGGATAATCTAATATGAATGACACCAAATGATACTGAGGACCAGAGAGCTAAAGCTGTTGGGCCAAGATCACACAACTCAGTAGGGGCAGCATCAGACACACATCAAATACTCTACAAGTGACAGACAAGTGACTGTATCTATGTAGACTCTTTGCTTATTTAATAAAGATGATTTGTCAGTTATTTTATTTTATTGTTGTGTTTGTTTCAAGGGCAAGTTGTTCTCACAATTTGAGAAGGTTATGGGCTGAGCATATGGCTAAGCCAGTTTACCAGACTTTAGGACACCCTCCTTCTACATATTTTAGAGAAAAAGAGGAATTCCTCAAAGTCTCCACCCCGCCTACTTTTAAGACTGACCCCAGAAGGCTCCATGACAGCGTGATTCTCAGGATGGTTGAAATTGAAGCCCTTGGGCTCAGTTTTTCTCTTTGTATGTCTGAGGGGAAAGGACAGAAATTCTAGACCCCACGTGTATCTGATAAGCACCCACTCTGTCCCTGTCACTGTTCCAGACACCTGGGAGATGCTGTAGCAAACAGAGATGGAGTCCCTGTGCTGTGGACCTGACACTCTAGTGAGGACGGCCTCTAGGTAGCGAGGTCACACAGAAAGTTTGGCATGCAAACCTAGAACTCGGGGGAGAAAGAGCAACGTGAGAATCAGCAGAGGAGGGCATTTAAGCCATAGGATGTAAAGTATCCAGGGAGAAGAGGAAGGTAAAGCAGAGACCAGGGCCTAGGCCTGTGTCCTGGAGCTCGAGCGTCGAAAGATTAGGAAAAGGAAGGGGAACCAGGAAAAGAGACTGACAGGAAGCTACCCCTGAGCAAAAATAAAATTAAATTAAAATTAAAGCAAATGACAACAACAACAAACCAAGTTCGGATGCCCCGGAAGCCAAGCAAGAAAGAGTGAGTGACCTGTACTAACGATGTCTATTACCATCCAGCCAGGTGTAGGATGGGAACTAGGGAATGACATTTCATCCGACCGTGTGAAACTCACTGGTGAATACGGTAAGAACGGAGGAAGTAGAAACTGTCTAGAGAACTGTTTTTTATTTTAATTGAGAAAATGGTTAGATTTTTTTTTTTAGATTACCCGTTTAATTTTTTATTATTATTATTATACTTTAAGTTTTAGGGTACATGTGCACAACGTGCAGGTTAGTTACATGTGTAGACATGTGCCATGTTGGTGTTCTGCACCCAGTAACTCGTCATTTAACCTTAGGTATACCTCCTAATGCTATCCCTCCCCCCTCCACCCACCCCACAACAGGCCCCGGTGTGTGACGTTCCCCTAACTGTTTTAAAAAGCCTTGCTGTGAAAAGGAAGACGGAAATAAAGCAGTAACTGGCATGGAAGGTCGCCCAAGGGGGGGACTTTTCCTAAGTAGGAGAGAGTCCGAATGTTCGTGTGCTGTTTGAAAAGATCCAAAACAGGAGGTGAAACCAATGCTGCGGCAAGAGGGCAGACCTCGTCAGCGAGGGTGGCCCTTGCTCTGGAGGGGAGAGTGGACGACCTGGCACACAGCTGGAGGGAGCCTCCTGCCAGAGGAGCAGAGGCGGCTCACCCAACAAGGAGGGGCAAGGAGGGGCTTCAGTACTCGAAGCAGATGCAGGGATGAGCTGGCTCTGTGTCCACGGCTTCTGTTCTCTCAGCCAAATAAGAAACCAGATCATCAGCTGGGAGTGGGGATAAGGAGGGACTCTGTCATTGAAAGGGGGGAACGGCATGAGGCGGAGGTCCCAGAAGTGCCCAGTTGAAAGCCTTGGGTGTAACTTGGAGCAGAGCTGTCTCCCAGGCAGATGAGGGGCCAGGGCAGGGAAAGCTTGGAGCTAAGCTGAGCTCTGGGTTTTTCCAGGAGCCTTGAGGGTGTGTGCAAAGGCATGCTGAGAGTGCGGCGCCTTGCACTCTACGCCGTGTGGGTGTGGGGGTGTCAGTGTGCAGGAGTCAGGAGGAGCAGGGGCAGTAAGTAGGCTGCCGGGGTGGGCCATGGGGGCCAGGAATGGACAATGATGAAATCACTGGTGATGGCAAGTCTAAGGAGTCACCGTGCAAAGCAAGGACTGGCAGGAGGTGGGTGGAAACGCCTGTAAGTGCAGAATCGTCCGTGTGTGGAGAGGTCTTGCAGTTGCCAGGAATGATGCCAGGAGAAGAGGTGAAGAAGCTGACCATGGGAATCTACGGTGACTGCAAGGGGAGCCAGGCCTTCGGTAGGAAACTGTAGGGAACGGTAACATTCACTACAGGAGAATGGTATAGTCTGAGGGGTGCAATTCAAAGGAGATGGGATTTTTCAGGGCAAACAGGGAAAATGGTGGGGAAGCTGCTAGAAGGAGCAGGTGAGCATCTAATTCCAACTCCAGGAACAAGGGTCCTGGGGTTTGGGAGAAAAGGCATTGTATGCTCAGCAAGGTCCCCATGGGCCTTCCAGGTTACAAGCAGAGTAAAATTAAATAATAATGGAGCCAGTGGTTTTAGAGGGAAGGGATGTTTCCAACTTGTATACCCCAAGGTTTCTCAAGCTCTGCGCTATTGACATTGGGGGCCAGATATTTCTGTGTTGGAGGCTGTCCTGTGCATTGCAGGACACTTAGCAGCATCCCAGGCCTCAACCCACTAATGTCAGTAGCATTCCCTAGTGATTGTAGCATAAAAAGGTCTCCAGATATTGCCAAATGTCCCTGGGGGCAACAGCACCCTAGTTGGGCATCTCAGACCTGCCCTAACAACCACGGTGCTGTTCCTCTTTACCACGGAAAGTGTCCCTTGGGAGAAGCAATAACACACTCCCATGAAAGACAAGGTTTTCCTTGAAACAAACATCAAGGTGGGGGCCAGTATTATCCCTGTTTCAGCAACAACCTAAAGAAAGTTGCATAAGGAAATCACTGTCCCGTGGCCTAAACACTGGTAGAATTGGCTTACTGTAGACCTCACCAGTCTATGCAGTATTTATAGCTAAAACTTCCAGGATGCAAAATTTAAGCCCTAGAAACATACAGGCCTCTAAGGGGTTCTATCAAAACCTGCCACCGATTTCCTAAAAAGAGCTAGCCTTATCATGAAACTTACTCTATAGATTTGCATGGGGCGATGTGCCTCATTATCACAGCTGTGCACTGGTGTGAATAAATGACAATAGGACAAGCACGCAGATCTTTCCAAACAGCATGCACCTGGGCCGCAGGCTGGCCGAGCGCCTGAGGGTTGCACCACCTACAATATCATCATTGTGTAATCCAGTCCTCCCTCTGTCAGCACAACAGCACAATCTAGAATCACCGATTTCCAAATCACAATGTAATCACACTGTAATCTATGTGTTTAAGAAAGGAGAAGCCACACACATACAAACACGATCACACACCATTTCCTTGAAGTCACCAGAACGGCAACATCTAGAACAAATAACCTCCTCTGGGAAGGTTCATTTCTCCACGGTTAACCATTGATGGGCTGGCGTGATCCCTTTAAACATGGGTCGCCAGAACTCAAAGCCCACAATCAAGGGTTTATCTAGGAGATAGTATTCCACAGCACCTGCTCAAAAAGGACAGATTGCCTGGAGCGCTACAGGCTAGCAAGGTAAACTTACGAGTGGGTGGCCTCCTTCAACAAAGAAACTGCACTTCTGCCCTTCTTAATGCCTGGAGTTAATTCCATCCTCAGATTTCATTTGAACTCACAATTCTGGCACTGAGGATCAAAGCCTGCAGACACCATTATCGAGTGGATTTAGATATTCAGCAAATGCACCCTTTCCCTGTCTCACACCTTTACCTGCTGGTGAGTTGGATGGTCCCATTGGAACCCAGCTCTTTCCAAGGTTGAGCAAGAGAAAAAGAGGCTTCAAAACCAGTGGTCTCCTGCCCGGTTAATGAACCACTCTTCAAAGAGCTGTGTGGGAAGCAAGCTTATACGCTGAAGCAATGCCTCAGATGATCTGTGACCTCTGCGTAGCTTGCCCTCCACCTCCCCATTATGACAGCTAGCTAATGGTTTTCTGAATATTTCCAGCCTGGAATTCCCCAACTTTCTTGAGGATAGTAGAGCCCCAGAGGCAACAATTGCAGGGCACGGAGCAGAATTTTTTGCATCACCTCTCAGTGAAGTTTCAAGAGACATGTTTTTCCCAAGTGCACTCAACGCCGACGCCTATCCAAACTCCTCACTCTCTCACAGGGCTCTCAGGGCAGGACGGCGTACCCCCTCTGCCCCAGCCAGTTCTCCTTACCTGAGCACCCATCCTCTCTTCCTTTCTTTCCCTTCGTGAGAACGAGGAGGTTGGAATGGCGAAAATGTTTTCTATGCCAAACAATTCTGAGCAGAAAGAGGACCTTTTCCTCTGAAGCTGTGATTGATCTGAAGGAGGCTAACTTCATTGGAGAGCAGTGGGTTCCAATTTGTCACCAGATTACAAGCAAGGGTGTTTCTCCTTTCTCTCATTTCATCAGTTAACAATTCATCAACATGTGTTTATTGGCACCTGCTATAACTCTAGCTCTGTGCTATGGATTTCAGGTGGCAAAATACATGGAAGACATTGACTCTTTCAATAAGATGGACTGCCCACTATGTGCCAGGCACTGAACACGCAAAGACGAACCAGTCTCAACCCCTGCGGATGAGGAGCTCAGCCTAATGGGAAAGGCAGGTATGTAGACCAAGGTTTCCCAGCCTCGGCTCTGTTGGCACCTGGGGCCAGATGGGCCTGTGTGTGGGGCTGTCCTGTGCGTGGTAAGATGTCTTCAGCATCCTTTACACGCACCCATGGGAGCATGGCACCCACCTCTCCCCAAGTTGTGACAACCAAAAATGTCTACAGATGTTGCCAAATGTTTTCTGAAGAACAAAATCGCTACTCTCCCCTGTACTGAGAAACACTGATATAGACAAATATGTACAATATAGTGTAATAAGTATAGTAGTGGAGTTATATACAAACTGTGGTTGCTGCACAAAAGACAATGTAAACATCTTTGCCTAGGAAGGGATCAGAGGAGGTGAGACTTGAACAGAGCCTTGAGGGAAAGAGTGGGGACTCAAGGGGTACACAAGAAAGGGCAGGGGTGACATCAGGTGGAAAAGTGGTGTGCAGAAAGGCGAGAAGACCCAAAACTGCAGGAAACTGCAAGCACCTGAGCAAGATCCAAGCTGAGAGCATGAGAGAAGGCGAGTGGACGAGGGAGCCAGGAGGGGAGCGGCAGCCAGGACACCGAGGCCTCGGCACCCGCACAAAAGGGTTTGGCCTCTCTTTGTAGAAGATGGGCACACGGGATGTTTTCAGCAGGACCTGATGTGAAGAATCATTTTTACTTTTTTCATTTCACTGAGAAAAAGATATTGCCTTGCTCTAAGGAACACTGAAATCTAGCATAAAAAAAAAAGACACACAGGAAACGTTACCAAACAGGCAGCCACATCTCTTACAGATACAATAAAGAGAACGGGAAGAATCGTCACTACTGGTGTTTATAAAAAACAGTGTGCAATTCTTCTTGTGAATAATATTGCTGTCTGTATTATTGTTTTAAATAAAGAAACCTCTAATTTCTTCATTGAACATTCACCAGGCTGGGAATCTTTCCAAGTCGGGCACTGGGTCTGGCTTATCTCTGTGCCCAACAGCTGGTAGGGAGCATGGCACGTTGCAGAACCTGGGTGAGTATTATGGGATGAATGATGTTCCAGACCAGGGGTCAACAGACTTTTTTGTAAAGGGCCAGATCACAAATACTTTTGCCTTCGTAGGTCAGGTGGTCTCTGCCCTACCCCCTCAACCGTGCCCTCCTAGTGCAACTGCAGTCACAGTCTATGTCTAAATGAATGAGCGTGGCCGTACTCCTGTAGAAATTTATTTATAAAAAGAGGAGGCAGGCTGCATTTGACCAGAAGATCATAGTTTGCCAGCTTCTGTTGCAGACAAACGTGTTCTCAATGAGTTAAAGAGGAGACGTTATTCAGAGTATTTATCCCAAAGTAAACATCCCCAACAAACACTGGGAAGACAGCCTCTTGGTCCTAAGTTCATGTTATTTGTCTCCTCTTACAGATAGAGGTACTCACTTGCTCTAATAAACTCAAAGTAATAGAGTGCTAGAAACAAAGAGGTCTAAGTTAACTCCTTCCTTTTACTGCTAAGGAAACTAAATCCCCATAATCTAGAGTGCCTTGCCCAAAATTCTGTGGCTGTCTTCCTCTGATGCCACAAATCTGGGGAAGAAAACTTAAACCCATTGCATCTAGGTGCAGAATTCCCTGCTTATGCACTGCCTCACTCTTGTGGGGGGCTGAGTGAGCCAGGCTTTCACCACGGAAGGGTGATACTCCAGGACTGGCAATGAGAAATTCACTAAGCCACACTCAGGTGGGATATTTGGCAATGCAGTCCTATGTTGCATCACATCCAGTCAGGTTGCAGAGCCAGCAGTGTCCACATTGGCTACGTCCAGGGAAGCACTTAACACCAAAGCCAGAGCTGTTCCAGGGTTCCAAAACACGCCAAAAGAAACGAAATCCATAGCATTTGATTTAGCAGAGAACACAAAGCACGCAATAGTCACTTTTACTTGGATTCACTGATGAGGAGGGCTTGAACACCAAGGTCTTGATAGTGGTATTCCTTCCAATAACGTTGTACCCAAGCCCCAGCTGAGAGACCTTTAAAGATCTATTTCCTGTTGATTTGGGGGAGAATTCCCAAAGTGCTATAATTTGGTTCCCAGTGCACAGCAAACTCTGTAGCTCAATACAAGTTAAGAGATTGTCTGAACCTCTGAGGCACTTAAAGCTTTCCATAGGAGTCAAGATCGGGCACCTGTATTTCTTATGCTTCACCAGTGAAAAGACCAGGGCAATGGGAGCTCGCACAGACAGTGGCTTCCCCAGGTCCTCCACGGGCCCCACACTTCTTTCCTCCCTGAGCCTGTCACTGCACAAATTAGGTACATGTTATGGTTGGAGAAAAGTGTGTTATTTTTTATCAGTTTACTTTGGTTTTAATCTTGAGGTGCTTCCCATTCCAAGGTTCTAAAATAACTAAACAGACGTGAAAAATTGCAGAAATGGCATTTCCAATGGAAAACACAGTAGGATTGTAGGAATGTGGTGTGAAAATGGTTTTTGAAACAGTTCTGGAGTCAGGAAGCCAGAGTTAGAAAGTGCCAGCAAGGTAAAACCCCAGGCACATTGTACAACAGAACAATAGAAGGCGATTTCTTCCTGTCTCCTATCAACAACACTTGATTCGCTGATACACACCACCCCTCTCCTTAATGCCTTGGTTAACAAACCAACACACCCATCTTACATAAACTGCCTTACTCAAACCTACACACCCCAAATTTACACTCGAGTGAGAGATTCTCGTTAGCTGTTTAGAACAAGTCAGCACAATTACTCACATTTTGACTCAAAAGATTCTTCATGCTCAGATGACTTCTTCAAAATGGGATGGAAGAAATACCACAAAAGGCTGCTTGTGGCATTTGAATGCTGGAGGCTGCTTGGATACATTAGGACAGATACACCTATTTTTTGAAAGTGCTAAATCATTAATTAATTTGGCCCCAAGAGATTCACAACTGTATTTTATTTTAAGATCTACCTGATACACACCAGAACACATTTCTTTCCTCTCATACAGTTTTTGGGATACATAAAAATGAACTCTATTTCCAACAGGCAGAATTTAGACTGTCAGGATTCATCATGTCTTACCCACATGTCACCCACCCGCCTCTCCCTTACAAAAAATACCCTGGTTGTTCTATGTATACCAGTGGTTTTCAATAGGTAGTGCAATTTTGCCTCCCAGAAAGAACCCCATCAAGGGGACATCTGGCAATGTCTACAGACATTTTGGGTCATCACAGTTGAAGGAAGGGGTGCTCCTGGCACTCAGTGGATAGAGGATAGGGATGTTCTAAACATCCTACAGTGCACAGGACAGTCCCCACTGTAAACATGCAGCCTGCCCCGATGTCACCAGTGTGGACATTGGTAAACCCTGACTTACATGTATGGCTGTTATGAACCACACTGTGTAACTGCTCAAAAACTGGGGGCAGCTGTAGGCTGCATTCACAGCGTCCACCTACCCTGAGAGAGTCCATGTTGTTCATGGATATAGGATTTGCTTCCCACCTTGGGAGAGAGGAGACCCTCGGCTGCCTGGGGATATGAAAGGAGAGGACACCGGGCTGGGAAGACTCTCTGGGTCCATGCAGGGCGTTGATGGTTCTAGGTAGCTGGATTTTACTCCAAAGTCTGCCTGGATTCAGGGCCAACTTTCCAACAGAAGCATGGCGTTGGCCTTTCTCTTAGGAAAGACTATTGAAGATGTGAATGAGAAAAACGTTGGTGATTGAAGGACATCTACCTTCGGGATCTTATGAAATCCGAGTACTATTTTAAATTCTGAAAGAGGCACACTAAGTTTCCTTGGGGCCAAAAAGTTAATATAAAATATGAAATAAAAGGCAGTAACTGTGTACACTGGTGGGTTCTTTCTGCACACAGGAAGTCATGTCTAAGGTTAGGGTCTTGTCTGAGCACTGGGTCTTCAATGTTCTAATTTAAAAGTATAATTGAGCCAGGCGCAGTGTAATCCTAGCACTTTGGGAGGCTGAGGCAGTGGGATCACCTGAGGTCAGGAGTTTGAGACCAGCCTGGCTAACATGGCGAAACCCTGTCTCTACTGAAAACACAAAAAAATTAGCTGGATGTGGTGGTGCACACTTTAATCCCAGCTACTTGGGAGGCTGGGGCAGGAGAATCGCTTGGACCCAGGAGGCGGAGGTTGCAGTGAGCCCAGATCGCGCCACTGCACTCCAATCTGGGTGACAGAGGAAGACTCCATCTCAAAAAAAAAAAAAAAAAAAGTATAATTGTATAAATTTCCAATTATACCATTACAATGTACAATGGTAATTGTAAAAGTAATGCATCCCTAGGGTGAGGTTGGAGAAGGGACTCTAGGTAGAAGTACACGGAAAGGTTCAAGGACCAAAAGTGTTCCACACCCTGGAAGCAGGAGAACTACAGGCATGTCTATGTGTGGGCAGGAAGAAGCCAGAGGAGGCTGTCGGGGGACCGGGAGGACCTCGCCTGCCGGCATCTCCCTGACCCAGGCACATCTGCCTGTTCTTTTGAATAGTCCTCATTCTCAGTCTTTCTTCTAAGTGCGCTGACTGTGGCTCTGTGGACTCATCAGCTTCTTCCACCAACACAAAATGCAATCAACGCATCAGGATTCATGTCGCAGACTCACCCAAAGCCACCTGGGGCTTTCTAACTTTCTTCATCCGTCTAAGCTTCTGTCGCCTCTTAATCACGCTGGTGTGATTTGGTCACCTCTTAATCCCTTTGGGACACGAAGATAGTTCTCCCTGATAGAGAGCAGGCTTTCTCCCGTCTCCTGTTAGCAACACATCCTCTGTGATGTCAGAGGCCTGGCCCATCCTCACTCTTCTCGTTGCTCCACCGGTAGATTTGGAAAACCCCTTTATACCCAGCCGTGCCTCTTTCAGCAGCCTCGCTGCCTGGGAAACTTAGCCTTCCCGGCACTCCCCTGCAGCCTGTGCCTCTCCAGGCTCTGTCTCTGGTGATGTGCATCCTCTCCCACATTACAGGTTCTTTTTCTATCAAAGCCCATCAGAAAGTTCCCAGTCTGCCCCCTTGGGCTTCTTTGCACCTCTGAGAGCACAGGTCCTTGGCCATTTAGCCAAGGGACATGGCTTCTAGCCTCTGAGCTCCTCCCCAGCTCTTCACCCCAACGCCTCCCCACCTCCTTGAAGGTCTGATGGTCAAAATCTACACCTGACAAGGCCCCAGCCAGCCATCACCATCCATCTCAAAAGCCATATACTTCCTTCCATTTGCAGTGTCTTCTTTGAGGCATCTGGAACCTCAATGACCAGAGGGGAAGGAGAATCCAGGAAAGAAAGGAGGTGCACAAGCTACAGAGGAACCGGGGTTGGGAGTGAGGGAGGTACCCAGCACCCAGTGACACCCAGATGGAGAGTGAGGGAGGTACCCAGCACCCAGTGACACCCGGATGGGGAGTGAAGGAGGTACCCAGCACCCAGTGACGCCCGGATAGGGAGTGAGGGAGGTACCCAGCACCCAGTGACGCCCGGATAGGGAGTGAGGGAGGTACCCAGCACCCAGTGACGCCCGGATGGGGAGTGAGGGAGGTACCCAGCACCCAGTGACGCCCGGATGGGGAGTGAGGGAGGTACCCAGCACCCAGTGACGCCCGGATGGGGAGTGAGGGAGGTACCCAGCACCCAGTGACGCCCGGATGGGGAGTGAGGGAGGTACCCAGCACCCAGTGACGCCCGGATGGGGAGTGAGGGAGGTACCCAGCACCCAGTGACGCCCGGATGGGGAGTGAGGGAGGTACCCAGCACCCAGTGACGCCCGGATGGGGAGTGAGGGAGGTACCCAGCACCCAGTGACGCCAGGACGGGCAGTGAGGGAGGTACTCAGCACCCAGTGATGCCTGGACATAGTTCAATCCAGCATCAATGCCCAAGGAGGGGCAGTGGGCAGGAGAGAGGCGGCCACAGCATTCTGTAGTTCTAGGAAATGGTTCTAGGAAATGACACCACTGCAATCCCCCTCAGTGTGGAGGGTGGTCTTAGGACCCACTGAGGAGCATCTCTGTGTCCCATGGGGAGGGACCAATGAAGAGAGCAAAAGTTATCATTTGTGGGGGTCCTAGCCAAGCAGACTGAGTTTCCAGGTAGGACTCCAGGCCTGGAGTTTCAATCAGCTGTCTTAGATATTATTATTAGTAAAGAAGAGAAAACAACTAGCTAGCTGACACTAACAGGGAAAGGCACTCCCAATATCCTTTAATATCCTTCTGACTTCCTGAGACAGTTTGGTCCCAGAGATGCCTAAGTCTGTAGTCCCTGCATATCCCTGAATGAGGCTCAGTCACCTCAGCAGCCTTAACTGAAAATGCAGCACCTTCCTCCATTCCAAAAATGAAAGTGTTTAGACCAGAACCTACACTCTTAGAAAACATTAGGAACGTTTCCATGGGTCACCGGGAGAAGTCAGGCTAAGCAGCGCCGTCTGCCTGCTCCCTCTCTGCTCCCTATGTCCCATGAGCTCTTTTGCATGCAGAAATGGGCACATGTGCAAAGAAAGCACACAGCTGCACAGTCACACACATCCACTTCTGGGGAATACTGGCAGAAGCTGGCTCATGCTGCAGGCACTGGGGAAGCAGCCTGGGGCTTTCTTAGAGCACGCATCAGCCTCCAGCTGCACTGGGGGTTCTGAGTCTACACACCTTCTCCCTGCCTTGTCCAGCACTGGGTCAGGCACTATGGAGTCAAAACCTAGAAAGTGAACAGCATCCACACCATTGCCTGTGCAGGCAAGGATACAAAAGGAGGGAGGCCCCGAGCCTCCAGCACAATGTGGTGTCTGCCTCCTTAGAATCATGATGTACTGTTTCCCAAGCAGCACTGTGAGAAGCACAGGTACCCTGTGGCATGTTAACAGGTCTTCCTCAGCCTCACTGTGCAACCTTTAAAGACTCTTTTGGCAGGTAAATTTCAAAATCCCTGCACACACTTTTCTGAGAGAGTTGTTTCCATTTGTACATCAAGGGCGTTGAAAAGTTCCACAGTAAAAACTCAGCATTTTCCTAGCCTATTTGACAAGAGAGTTTTTTTTTAACCTAGTAGGACATGCTATTTTAGTCTTTATGATACCTAGATAGCTTATTTTATTTTATTATATTATTTTATTTTATTTTATTTGGGGGAGGTAGACACACATTTATTGCAAACATCCTAAAGTACAAATATATGACACGTAAGAGTGGATCTCAACCATATGTAAAACTCTAAATGTCACAGTTGGTGGATTGAAAGATAAGTGTCTAAAAGCAACTTGCTATAGCTACTAAGAGCCATCTGACTGCCATCCTGTAGAGGGCAAAAAAAAAAAAAAATGCTCACAAAGTACACAAAGTAAACTGCAGCAATAAAATAATCATTATCACCATCATCATCACCATCAGAGATAAAACAGATCATTGATTACAATACCATCTCAACAATCCACACACAACAGTCAAGTAGTCACCCAAAATGTTTGTTTTTAAATATTAATAACTGACAAATAAAGATTACATATATCTAAGGAATACATGGAATGGTTTGATACCCATGTAAATTGTGTGCGATTATCACAATCCAGTTGATTAACACATCCTTTACCACCCATGCCATACGTAAGAGCCCCAGAACGTGCTCATCTCATCACTGAAAGTTTGCACCCTTTGACCAACCTCTCCCCATTTCTCCATCTCTCAGCCCTTGGCAACCACCTTTCTACGAGACAGTATTTTTTTTTTTTTTTTTTGAGACAGAGTTTCGCTCTTGTTGCCCAGGCTGGAGTGCAATGGCACGATCTCGGCTCGCTGCAACCTCTACTTCCCGGGTTCAAGCGATTCTCCTGCCTCAGCCTCCCGAGTAGCTGGGATTACAGGCATGTGCCACCACGCCCGGCTGATTTTGTATTTTTAGTAGAGATGGGGTTTCTCCATGTTGGTGAGTCTGGTCTCGAACTCCCGAGCTCACGTGATTCACCCGCCTCGGCTTCCCAAAGTGCTGGGATTACAGGCATGAACCACCGCACCCAGCCAAGAGAGCCCCTTTTAAGCAGAACACCTATTAACATTGCAAAGAGCACTCCTTGGAACACAGTTTAGAGAAAGCCTCCCCTGGCATTCCCTTGGTCTCATGCTGCCTGTTTTTCGGGGTCTGTCTTGTCCCTTCGTAAGCGCCTCATACTGCACTATGAGCTCTCTGAGGACCCACGATGCTTAACTAGCTGGAAACAGCCAGTGACACCCATAGACTGCACCCCTTGCGACGTTCTCTCCTCCCACGGGCAGGTGCCCTCCCCTCCAATGGCTTTATGTCCTCCCGTATCCTCTAAATATTCTGTCTCCCACATTTCATCTTCGCTGTCTACTTTTCAACCTAAGAAATCGGACCCTGGTGCGCCGTCGCTCGGCAGCATTCGCTTGCTCCCCACAACGCACCTCAGGCCCCTCACCCCATTCATTCTTCTTGGTGTGACGAGCCCTGCACCCCTAGGATTAGGGATAGAAGGAGGAATAACACGGTTTCCCTGTGAGTTCCCAGCCTGGACAGGGAGTCAGGGCAAGAAAACAGTATGTGGGACAGAAGGAGGAGACAAGGAAGGATGAAGAGCCGTAGCTGCCCAGAGCATGGGGAAGAGAGAGGTGCCAGCCACCTGGGGGGCCAGGGAGACCCCGTGAGAAGTGGGGCTGATGGAGTTGTAAGGAAACAGAGGGAGCAGTGGGTCTGTGGGCCCAGGGGCCAGGTGGACATCGCAGGAGTCCCAGGCTGGAGGTCAAGAGGAAAGACAGGGCTCTGAGAGACGAGCTGGGCAGGGCCTCACCAGGCTGTGTCCTTGGGAGGGCACGCAGCAGCCTTTGGTGAGGGCCATTCACACTGGGGAAGTGAACCAGTGCACAGCATAAAAAGATCACTCTGGCCGCTGGGCAGGCAGAGAGCCGCGTGATGAATCAGTCAGGAGCCAGGTGGTGATTGAGATCAGGGGTCCTGGGAGCTCACAGATGGGGGGAGAGGAGGGACCCCGGGGATGCCTATGGGGGAGCCAGTACCACTGCCCTGGGCTGCCTGAGCAGGATACCTCCCCTCTGGCCTCAAACTGTTTGTTTATTCAAAATCACCCTCTTTTCACCCAACGACTCTCCCCTCTGTTGTTCCCCGTTCCCACCGTGATTGTTCTAGTCTCCTGGCCAAGAGCCTTAGGACTGTTCTGCCTCCTCCCTCACCAAGTCCTGTTAACTCTTCCTCCATAACACCCTTTGCTTCTGTCCCTACTGTGCCCTCCCTGTGCCCCACCCTAGTCCAGCCCCTGGCACACCCAACCATCCCCACAGTCCCCCTGGGCACCATCTCCTCCCTCCAACCCAAGTAACTCACTCTCCAACTGATGTGGCCTTTAGGTCTGTGTCCCCATCGCCATATACATCTTTGAGTCCAGCCAAGTCGATCTTCTCACGATTGTCCAATCTGCCCACGTGGACACTGGGGCCCCCACACCTCTTGCCCAGGGTGCTGTGCCCTCTCTCTGCATAGTCCTGAGGCCCAGCCCAGTGCCACCCTCTTGGTACGACTTCTCCCTCCCTCCCCTGAATACCTGGAGCTCTTACTTTTGGCTCCATGCCTTGGACCCTCGGCATATACTTTTATGTAGTGTTATTTATCAGCTTTCCATTTAGGTCCTATTGACCAGCTAGACAGTAAGGCCCTGAAAGACAGAGACTTTATTCTGCATTGAAGCCTCTCCTCCACTAATGAGCACAGTGGGTGCATAATAATGTTGGCAATGGACTCCATGCTTCCCACTGATACTAGGGTCACTATCGGCCAATCAGGTTCTCCCGTGAGTGAACGTGGCTTTCTGAGCTTCCAACTCCCTGCTGGGAAGTGATGCCTGCAAGAGGGAGAGTCTAGCTCGTGGACCTTTTCCACAGATAATCTCTGTAAGTACTAGGATTTCTAGTTCTCTAACTTGCTAGAAAACAAGCCGAACTTGATCCGACAAATAGCAGCTCCTAGAGATTACGTATCATAAGCATCCGTGTTCTAAGCTTGTTGTGAAAATATAATGACACTTACTGAAGGATTATCATTGTTTCGTAACTTTTAATATTCTCCCATCACACTGAATTAAAAAAAATTCCTCCTTTTTTTCCTTGAAGGATCTTATTCAAGTAGCATTTACGAATGACTGCAATGTTCTCAGTATTGTCCTAAATGTTTTTGCATTTTGTGATCAGATGTCTTCACAGTTTCAGCAAAACGGGATTGACTGCGCTTTATTGTTTGTATTTGCAGTTTTAATTGAAGCCAGTCAATGTTAAGTTATAATATAAATTATGTAAATCATACAACCGAATCCACTGGGTTATATTTACACAGGCAACAAAGAAATAATTGTTGAATTAAATATACTTTTGGAAGCAATGTTGAATTTAAACTTCACTACAACCTTGCAAGGTAGGTTAGTTATTACCTGCACTTACAATGAAAAAACTGAGGCTAACAGAAACCGAATACCTTGCCCAAGGTTGCACAGCCAGCAAACGGAGCAGAATCAGAGCCCTGCGCAGTCTCTGGCTCCAAGTTTCACTCTTGACTTCCTTCCAGCAGATAACCGAAAGAAAAGACTCGGACAGCCCCCTGATCCCAAATTCACCCTCCCTCTTCAAATGAGCCTAGTGGGCAAACCTGGGGCGTGTCGCTCTGCACAGAGTACACACAGCCACAGCTGTGTCAAAACACAAACCCTAAGTGGGAGATACAAGAAGCTGTGTGGGGCTTCTCCTCCTTCCCCAAGTGAAGAGTCTGCACGTGTAAGGTGACAGTGGGGTCCTACTACTGTACAAAGCAAGGCTGGTCACTCCACAGAGAGGACACCAAAACCCTGGCGAGGCCAGTTAGGGCAGGGATTTGTGAGAGAGGATCGCCTCCTCCAGCCCACTCTCCAAGGAGATGTCTTTGCAGAAACAGACTCAACTTTCTTGAGGGCTTCTGTTCTGCCACCACTCTTACCCCATCACATGCTACAAGTCACCTATACTTCATGAGTACATGTGGTCCCAACATTATCCATAAGATAAAGGTACTATAAACAATGCCAGAATCAACCACATTCATTCCATACTACACCCTCAAATCCCAACATAGCCCCTCTTTTTAAATGAGAAAGGGGAAGTATATGAGAACAGCCAGCATAAATAGCTACAGCTCTCATAACTATATTCTAAAATATAAGTAACTTCTAAAAGATAGCTATTGTTTTAAATACAGTCCTTAGGGCAGCAATATATATATGTACATATATGTATACGTGTATACATATACATATATGTAAACATATATATAGTCATTGTAAAAAGTCTCTATTTTCAAAGCAAACCTTTTACATAAAGGAAATAGCAGATACTGAGCTTTAAGCTGGAACCCTGATTGGGAAAATCTGAATTCACATATAAAGAAAGCTATCACTTTAATGTGAGTGATTCACTTATTAAGAAGCAGGAAGCTTGTTCCTAACAAGAGAACATCTATTCATTGCTCAGACTTAATAATATTCACAGTGTTATTCCTTGTAGTTCTACAATTAGCCATTAGTCATACCATTTTTCTTACATAAGAATTATCTAGATTGTATATAAAACATGTATATCCGCATGGTCTTTGATCTGGAGCACCCATCCACACAGGACGAGTAACATATGATTGTGAAATTCTAAGAAGGGATGAAATTCTCTGTGATGTTGCAGACATAAAAACCATTAAGTTTTGCTGTGTTATTCAGAGTGGTAGTGCTTTCAGTTTAATTAATGGTGGTAAATCACTTAGCTGAGTGATTCTTCTAAGGATGACTATTACATTAAGACAAATGGATCTATTCTTAGGTCTGTTAAGTATAGTATGTAAATGGCCTGAACATTTGATCAAATGAAATGGCTAATCCGCTAAGTGTCCATTGAGAGACTGTTGCAAGAATAATTACAGTACCTGGTCCTATTCATATGCATTTCTGATCCTTTTTGAAATCTTATGAAGTTATTAGGATCAACAATACATTGCAACTGAAGTTGTCTAAGGTTTGATAGACAATTGCTTTAAAATACTGCCCAGGACACACACACGCACACACACCAAAAAACAAGTAAATTTACTTTCAAAGTGCTTTCTGCATTTGAAGCATTTATCACGGATGTTTGCCTGAGTTCTTGATGTAGGTCAGCAAGCCCTTCGCTGGAGTAGGGGAGTGAAAGTGAATGAAAAATAGATAGACTAGGGAAGATGCACAGTCTCCCTAACTCTCAGCCTAGCTCATTAAAATTTATTTAATTTTAGCTTCTCTAAAATTTATGTCTTAGACATCACCTCCTCCAAAAAGTCATTGTTGAGGACCCAAGTTGAGGTCAGATGGCCTCCTTCATGCTCCCATTGTGCCCTGGGCTTCCTCCATGCAAGCAATAGATGCTAGCGTTTTAGGCAAGTGAATAAGGCATGTCACTGCCCCCAGGAAACCAGCAGGTAAATATCTACAAAATAATGAGGGCTGTGTTGATCTTGACATAATGGAGGCCAGAAAAAGGGCTGAGCTGGGAGAAATCTGAAAAGGCTTCAGGGAAAGGCTGGGAAGGTAAGAGTCTAAACAGGAGAATCGGTGTGACCAAAGGTGGGAATAATTAGGACTACTTTCCAAAGAATCCCCTGCAGGCAGCCTCCTGGCATGGGCAAAAACTAGGGCAGCCCACAGTGATCTCTGACTTAGGCCAGAAATGAGTACAGTGTGTAAATGACATCTTAGCATGGGCTAAGGCTGGAACCAGAATGGGCTGAGGCTTTCCCCTTGCAGATCCTCTCAGCCATGGCAGAAAGGGTGGAGAGGGCAAGCGGAGGACTGGGCAGAGCTGCACGGACACCTGGAGTTCTTGTCTGGCCACTTCCCATGTTAGCCTTTTTTCTCAGTTTAGGGAAGTCTTACCTCACGAGTTGTGATGGAAGCCAGGACTGTTCCCACTGCGGGAAGTTGATCCCTGCCTCCCCTGCAACTAGGGCACAGGAAGGGGACTTGGGCTCTGCCAGTCAGTGTCCTCTCTGGTCTGGCTCAGCAGCTGGCTGTGCAAAGAAGCAAGAGAAGCCTGGAGCTCTCTGGCGGTAGCTCCCTCTGGTTTGCAGAGGTGGCATTCTTGTGGCCTCCATCACAGGCACAATGGTGTGGTCATGAGACCCTGTTTCCAGTCTGTGATGTCATTTTGGAAACTGTTCCCAGCCCTGCAGTCTCTAAGGCTAATGCTCCAGCCCTCCCAGAGAGTCTGTGAGCTAGCTTTTATTTGTTAATACATTCCTTTTCTAAAATTAGCCCAAGTTGTTTTCCGTTGCGACTGAGAACTTTGCTTGGAGAGAATGGATGCAGCCTTGGAGAGTGAACTCAGGGCTGTGCTGCTTCTCCCAGGTAAGGTCAGCTGTGGGAAGGGCTTTGCATTCATCCCAGTCAAGCCTGCCTCCAGTTCCTGAAAGAACAGAGTCCCAGGAAGGAGAAAGCCCTTCTGCCTGCCCATGCCTGGGAAGAAGCAGAGCTGGAGGGTGGGAATTCTGTCCTGCCGCAGTGGGTAGTAGCATGCACACAACCCCACTGTCCCTGGGAATGCACAGCAAGGCATCATGCCCCATGCTGCAGGTCCCAATGGGCTCCCCACACCCTCCACTGATCCCATAGCGGGTTCCCAACAAGTCTTCTCTTTCCTACACTACATTCGTGCAGATGCATATCAGAGCCAGGCCCCTGGAGGCCTGTGGCCCACCTGATTTGCCTCGTGAGTTCTATTTACCCTCCCCCATCCTTCTGCCCAAACATTGCCAGAATCCCATTCTTCCAGAGCCCTCGGCTTCTCCTGCCCATGATGCAGAATCCTAGAGTGTCCGTCAAACTTAGAGGGAACCAGGTCTGATCAAGGTCAAGAGAACATCGGAAATGAGGAGTGGGAAGGGGAACCAGCCCCCACCACACAGGGAACCAGGTCTTTTAATGACTATGAAAGTCAGTGTGTCTGTGAGAAAGAAGTTGTGGTAATAGAATACAGTATGGAGGTTATCAGGGAAACAAATCTTTCCTTCTGTTGACATAAGCCTGTGAAGGGAAGAGAAGAACTATAATCTTGTATCTCCTACATACTCTGTAAAGTACAGATTAATTGTAGTCTCATGAGAGAATTGATTGTCTCTTACGGATAATTATCCTGAGCACGACAGCTATTAGGTATGACAGTATGTGTCACATCGGATTTGTTGTAAGTTTTATTTCATTACAATACCACGCCTTGTTCTTGTGTGTTCTGCCTTCTCTGGTCCTGTTCTTATGCTTATCCGTTCATAGCTTAAAACTCTGAGGTTACATTAGTTTAGCACAGCCAGGTGGGCTCACCTCCACCTCCCCGGTATCCTCTCCCTCTTTCCCCAGCACTAGCCTTCATCTCCATCTGCACATGGGACGGCTTTGGAGAAAGACACTGTATGGAATAAATAGGTCATAAGGGTTCCCCAGCACTAGCCTTCATCTCCATCTGCACATGGGACGGCTTTGGAGAAAGACAATGTATGGAATAAATAGGTCATAAGGGTTCCCCAGCACTAGCCTTCATCTCCATCTGCACATGGGATGGCTTTGGAGAAAGACAATGTATGGAATAAATAGGTCATAAGGGTTCCCCAGCACTAGCCTTCATCTCCATCTGCACATGGGACGGCTTTGGAGAAAGACAATGTATGGAATAAATAGGTCATAAGGGTTCCCCAGCACTAGCCTTCATCTCCATCTGCACATGGGACGGCTTTGGAGAAAGACAATGTATGGAATAAATAGGTCATAAGGGTAAATTACACAGATGATATATAAAGGTAAGAAAAGCTTCATATTCTGTAATATATAATGTCTAAATATTAAGAAAATATGAATTAGGAATGATGCAACAGGAAAAGTCTAATCAGAATAAATGACCCCCCCTGACCATCTCTCCTGATAGTTAAAAAAAAAAAAAAAAGCCCACAAAATGACAATTCTGCTGACTAAAGGAATAAACCTGGAGCAGGAAGGGTGGAAAAGCGAGGAACTCCCGAATGGCTACAGACACTAACCCTGTGACACGTCCACTGTGGGTGCTAACGAGCAACCACCACCCACTGTCCCCACTTCACAACTGCAGTGACCGTCTGACTTTCACACTGCCTTTCATTTCAGTGTTTTATGCTGGGGGAGAGGGTTGGGGGTGGGATGGAGATGGGGGCTGTGGCCCGGTGAGGGACAGGGCAGGGGACCCAGGAATCTTCAGGAGGAGTATGGGATGGCAAAGTGGAAGAGGCACCAGCATAACCCTGTTCTACGACCTCCAACTCACAAGCCACTCTACACACTGCAGACGCCCAATGGCCAGAAGAGACGAGTGCAGCCTTATTCGCCCCAAAACATAGTCATGAGGATTCAGGGGGATCAGATGGTCTGGGTTTCAGGCCATACCGGGGTGCTGACAAGTGACTTTCTCTGCATCAAACGTGAATACTGCCCCGTGCCTCCAAAGCGCGGACTGCATCACATTGGAAAGACCTAAGCGTGAATGAAGCCGGGTATGGCCTGAAGAGCTGCTGCTGACTGACAGCGGTGCTTCCACTTGTGGGAGGAGGGCAGGGGCACGTGGCCCTGCTTGGGAAATTAATGGGCTTGCGAGCCGGAAGCCCTGAGCTGAGTTGTCAGCTCTGCCTAAATCATACCTTTATGACCTTTGGCAAGTTTCTCAGCCTCAATTTACTCATCTGTAAAACATGGGTAATCCCAGTGTGCTGTCCGCACGAGGTTGCCGTGAGGATTTTTATGTAAAGTGACGCATGGTGAATGCGAGTTTCCTCCCTCCTCCGTACTTGAAATTCAACCAAATCACTCAGTCTCATCTAACTACTTTGTGTTTTTAAAATGAGTATCAGTAACAGCTGCTGCTTCTGTTCTTCCCAGAGATGCAGTGAACACAGGCCGTGAGGCTGTTCTGTAATTTCTAAATGTTTATCTTCTCAGAGTGATGAGTTATGTTAGAAGCAGGTGATTTTCTTCAAAAAACTAATAAAGTCTTATTATTCTACCTATAATTACCTGGTTGGAATAATATCACATCTTTACAGCCACGTTGCTCAATAGAGAATTGCTACTTAAAGCTAATGAATTTGAAAATTGATAAGATTTTAAGTGTTGTCATCAGAAAAAAATGATTAGTATGTGAGGTCATGCATATGTTAATTGGCTCAAATTAGCCATTCCACAATGTATACATACTTCAAAACATCATGTTGTGCACCATAAATACATAAAATCTTTATTTGATGATTTTAGAAAAATGTTTTAAGAGACTAAAAAATAAAAATAAAGCTAGTGAAATAGAGACACATCTGTTTCTACATTAGGAAAAATTATCAAAGCTCCCAATTCCATTGCAGGAACATACCTGTGGTAACAGCCTCCAAGATGGCCCCAGAGACCCACACCTACAAGACACACCCTTGGTGCCCACTCCCACACTGTACCAGAGATTATCTGAATTAGCAGTAGAAGATAGCAGAAGCCATGGTAAAAGACTGTGTCTGGCTGGGTGTAGTGGCTCACGCCTGTAACCCCAGCACTTTGGGAGGCCGAGGAGGGCAGATCACAAGGTCAAGAGATCAAGACCAGCCTGGCCAAGATGGTGAAGCCCCGTCTCTACTAAAAATACAAAAATTAGCCGAGCATGGTGGTGCGTGCCTGTAATCCCAGCTGCTCGGGAGGCTGAGGCAGGAGAATCACTTGAACCCAGGAGGCGGAGGTTGCAGTGAGCCGAGATCATGCCACTGCACTCCAGCCTGGGTGACAGTGCGAGACACCGTCTCAGAAAAAAAAAAAAAAAAAAAAAAGATTGTGTCTGCCATGAGCTCTCTGTCTCAAGTCACTTGCACTAGGGAAGCTGCCGCTCGTCCTGAGGATGCTCAAGCCACCATATGGCAGGAACTCTCCTTCAGTTCAACTTCTATGTGACGCCAGCCATGGCTGACAGCAACTTGAGCTGGAACCACCCAGCTAAGCGCTCCCAGATTCCTGGGCCACAGAAACAGTGATAGAATAAGTGTGTATTACCTTAAGCTGCTGAGTTCGGGGTCCTTTGTTACTCAGCAGTAAGTAACTAATACATTAATCAACACACAATCACACACATACATATATGTGCACACACACACATTTGGTAAGAAATCTTTGGCATACTCTTTCAACCTGATAAATACAGTGCATTCTGGAGTTGTGCCTAAAGTTGTCCATACAAGAAGCTTCATCCTATCATGATGAGACTTCAGTTCCTTATGTCCAAGATGTACTCAACTCACATAAAATTCCGTCGTATGTCAGAGAGTATATTACAGGGAGAAGACAAGAAACCCTCTTGAATCCTATATCTTTATTAGGGAAGGACAAGTGTAATGAAAAGTATTTGCTTTTGCTAAAGAGAAAAGGCCTCATTGGAGAGAAAGGGAATTCAGATTGTACGCCCTGTGGATGATCTGCCAAGCAGGCTGCCTGATAACTGGTTCGATGTGTGTGTGGTGTACTGTTGGTTAGTCCAAGAGATTCTTCTGAAGCATAATATTGCTTCTTATCAAAAATAAATCAAAGAACAAAAATAAATGGGTGGGTTATGCATATATGAATTCCTGTGCTTTTAAACATCTGGGAGATTTCCTAAGTATCCAAAGATAATGGCCACTCCATATTTATGTAGCACCCGGTATATAAGTACATTCATCAAAGATTAAAAAGATTATGTCTCAGATCTGTCACGACCTATTAACTTCTACATCTGTCATCTAGTTAATCCCCAAATTCTTTACCATTACCGTGAAACGAAACACCCTTGCTCAACAAAATGATTTGTTCGTTTATATAAAATGACTCATAAAATAAAACTTTATTTCTGATTCAAACAACAACATCCAATAACTGAGTAATGCTGTAATGAAATACAGTGCTCTAAATATGAATAATAATGATATTAACTGAAAACATTAGAAATGAGTATAGGAAAATGAGACAAAAAGTAGAATATGGAGGTGTACCATAACTTTTAGTTCTGGAGAGGTGGTCTGCAATTTGAGTTAGTAAAACTGTTTTCAAACAAGTTTGTCATTCTTTATTCTGGACTTCATGCTATTACATAATGGAAATCTTCATGATAATGCTATTCAGAAATAGAAGAGCTGCCCATAGGCTTTTGAGAAGAAGAACAAGTGGATATAAAGAAATGTGGCATTGGTCTGTGGACTCTGAAAAGAAAAATGTCCAAATGCCATCAAACCAACCAAGTACCAGATAACTGCTCTTATTCTGCAGAAAATAAAATTTAACAGCCATTAATGATTTTTAAAAGCCAAAAACCTCTTAGCAAACTTGGAATAGAAAGGAAAATTGATAAGAGGAATCTACAGACAAAACCTAAAGTGAAATATTACATGCTTTGCCTTCCCTCTAAGACGGAGAATAAGGCAAAGATATCTACTTTCGCCACTCTACTCAAAATTGTAATGAAAGTCTTAGTTATTGTAGTAAGGTAAGAAAAAGAAATAAAAGGCATAAAGATCAGAAAGGAATAAACTGTCCCTGTTTGCCAATGATGTCATGATTTAGTAGAAAATCCTATGACATGCATAGAACAACCACAAAAGCTTATGTGAAGATTCATCAAGGTCTCAAGATACAAGATGAATATACAAAAGTCAAATGCATTTTTAATACTAGCACAAACAATTTGAAAAAAAAATTGTTTTACATTTAATTTGCAATAACACCAAAAAAAACTTAGGAAAAAATTTAACAAAGTACACGATCTCTACATTGAAAACTATAAAATGCTAGTGAGAAAAAAATGAAAGAAAAACTAAATAAATGAAGAAGCATATACAATGTTGATGAATTGGAAGACTCAATACTGTTAAGATGCCAATTCTTCCCAACTTGAGACACAGATTCAATGCAATAACCCCAGCAGACTTTTTACAGAAATTAACAAGATTACTATAAAATTTCTATAAAAATTCACACGACCTAGAAATCCAAAGCAATCTTGAAAAAGAAGAACAAATTTGAAGGCTTTATAACTATCTAACTTCAACATGTTCAGTATCAAGACAATGTGGGATTGGCACAAGGACTAACAATAGATGGGAAAATCATTTAATTTTCCAAAGGGGCCAAAGCAATCCAATGCAGAAAGAATCATGTTGTTGACAAATGGTGCTGCAATGACTGGACATCTGTGTGGGAAAAAAATTCACTTGACCCCCTTCTTACACAACCCACAAAGATTTATTTGAGATGGACAGAACAAACTGTAAAAGCTAAAACCATGAAGCTTTTATTTATTTTTTTAAATTTTAGGTTCAGGGGTGTATGTGCAGGTTTGTTATATAGGTAAACTCGTGTCACGGGGGTTTGGTATGCAGATTATTTCATCACCCAGGTACTAAAACTAGTACGCAATAGTTATTTTTTCTGATCTTCTCCCTTCTCCCACCCTCCACCCTCAAGTAGCCCCCAGAGTCTATTGTTCCCCTTTTTGTGTCCATGTGTTCTCGTCATTTAGCTTCCACTTATAAGTGAGAATATGTGGTATTTGTTTTTCTGTTCCTGCATTAGTTTGCTAAGGTTGATGGCCTCTGGCTTCATCTGTGTTCCTGCAACAGACATGATCTCATTTTTTTATGGCTGCATAGTATTCCATAGTGTATATGTACTACATTTTCTTTATCCAATCTACCACTGATGGACATTTAGGTTGATTCCATATCTTTGCTATTGTGAATAGTGCTGCAATGAACATATGTGTGCATTTGTGTTTATGGTAGAAAGAATTCTATTCCTTTGGGTATATATCCAGTAATAAGATTGCTGGTCGAACGGCAGCTCTGTTTTTAGCTCTTTGAGGAATCACTATACAGCTTTCCAAAATGGTTGAACTGATTTGCACTCCCACCAACAGTGTATAAGTGTTCCTTTTTCTCCACAACTTCGTCAGCATCTGTTATTTTTTTCACTGTTTGATTATAGCCATTCTAACTGGTAATTGTGTTTTTGACTTACAGATCTCTAATGATCAGTGATATTGAGATTTTTTTCATCTATGTGCTTCTTGGCCCCATATATGTCTTCTTTAGAAAAGTGTCTGTTCATGTTCTTTGCCCACTTTTTAATGGGATTGTTTGGTTTTTGCTTGTGAATTTGTTTATGTTTCTTATAGATGCTGGATATTAGACCTTTGTCAGATGCATAATTTGCAAATATTTTCTCCCATTCTATAGGTCACCTGTTTACTCTGTTGATAGTTACTTTTGCTGTACCGAAGCTTTTTAGTTTAATTTGATCCCATTTTTCAAATTCTGTTTTTGTTTTAATTGCTTTTGGCATCTTCATCATGAAATCTTTGCCCTTTCCTATGTCCAGATGGCATTTTCTAGGTTATCTTCCAGAGTTTTTATAGTTTTGGGTTTTACATTTAAATCTTTCATCCATCTTGAGTTAATTTTTGTATATAGTATAAGGAAGGGGTCCAGTTTTAATCTTCTCCATATGACTAGCCAGTTACCCCTGCACCATTTGTTGAATAGTGAGTCCTTTCCCGTTGCTTGTTTTTTGTCAGCTTTGTTGACAATCAGATGGTTGCAGGTGTGCAGCTTTATTTCTGGGCTATCTAATCTGTTCCATTGGTCTATGTGTCTGTTTTTGTACCAATACCATGTTGTTCTGGTTACTATAGCCCTGTAGTAGTCTGAAGTTGGGTAGTGTGATGCCTCCAGCTTTGTTCTTTTTGCTTAGGATTGCCTTGGCTATCCAGACTCTTTTTTGGATCCATATGAATTTTAAAGTATTTTTTTCTAGTCCTGTGAAGAATGTCATTAGTAGTTTGGTAGAAATAGCATTGAATCTGGAAATTGCTTTGGCCAGTATGAACATTTTAGGGACATTCATCTCATGAGGCTTTGAAAGGAGAGCATAGAAGTATATTTGTGACTTTGGGGAAATAAAGATTTATCTGATGAGATGTGGAAAACAATAAAATTATCATAAGTTTTTTAAAAAAACTAGACTTCATCAAACTTTTGATATTCTTTTAAAGGTTATAGAGGCAGTAAAAAGTCTGATTTCCTTTGCAAATAAATAATGTGGTAATAGAAAAGAAACTAACTCCTGCACACCAACTAGGGAACATTGAGGTGTTGACCTGTGAGAGAGTGGTGCAGAGAGAGCCCCGTAAGACAGGAAACCTTGCCTTGGCAGGGCGAAATGACCAGGAGGAAAGTAGGATTTAGACACACTGACAAGTTTCCTTATATTATGCAGCACTATGCAATTTTCTAAGTGCTTTCAGATGTTTACTCTTGACTCCCATAAAATCGCTGTGAGCTGAGCAGGGCTTAATATGATTTCTACATTCTAGAAGAGCCTGAGATCACACGGCTGGGGAACCGTGGGGCAGGATGGAGTGTGGGTCCTTCGTCTCTTGGCTTCCTGGGTGTCGGAGCTGGGTGTAAATCCAAGCACCCACCCTGCAGCCTGTGCTCAGCCCACCGTGCTCCAGGCTGCTCAGGCTTTGTGCACGGAGTAGAGTCAGAGGCAACGGAAGAGGAGGTGGCAGCCAGCACTCTTGGGCCCGGGACCCTTGCTTGAGACTTGACATGAAATGGAAGAGAGTGCGAGAACTGGAAGGAGATCACAGTAGCTCTGGCTTTCAGACACAAGTGTCTATTTCCTCAGTCAAGGAGAAGCCTTCCTCACACCATGAGAGGTGTGGACCTTGTATCTCTTACAACAACCAAGGCTGGACACCACCTCCTAATGTCGTTGGAAAAGCCAGTGCTCCACCTTATGACCCAAACTGACTGAGAGAATGTTTGCCAGGCCCCTGGCTGTCTACGAGGAATGGGAGGTAAGGGTGAGAGGTAGATGTTTATGTAGAGTTTGGCTTTAGTACAGCTGTGGCCAGGCTTACAGTTGACACTCGGTGAGGAACGGCAAAACAATAACAAAACGCCCTTCGTTTGAGTTCATAGTAATTGCTTAATTACACTGTGCATTATGTTATTACCCTGCTAGGGCTTCAGACCTCCTGTTATGCTGGTGAGCCTCCTGCCCTGTTTCTTTGGGTGTGGCCCCCAGAAGCTTGCGGTTTGCCGAATGATTTCGATGGTTCCAGGTTCTCTACCCTTGACAATGGGGCCGCCTGTCAAACAGAGGCTCAGAGAAGCCCTACCCCAGAAGCCTTGCCCAGTTGGATCTGGAGCCAAAACGTGGAATAAAGTTAGAATTTAGAGAGGCCTTTAGTTTGGTGGTAACATCTCTGCCTGTCTGTGAAACGTTGCTTTCTTTTATTTTCTTTCTAAACAAAAATGATTTCTTCTGTGTTGCTTGGTTGCTCAACAAGGAAACAGGAACTGTTTCTATTCCTTATCATTTGCTGTTTACTTAGTGTACAAGGGTAGAGTCTAATATCTGTGGAAAATTTTGTGCATAAACTGGAAATTCTGGCTTCTTCAGTAATCTGTTTATGTAATTTTATTTTGGGATGTGTAAATTTTCTTTTCGCTGATTGTCAAGAGAGTGTTAGATATGGATGAAGTCATCTTTTTTCTTTGAGAACTGCAAAGTTATGTTAGAGCAGTTAAGATTAAGGTAATTATTTTATTTTTTGTATTTTATTGTATCTTTTCTTATTTACAAAAGAAAATGTGCTAAGGGAAAACTAAACACAAGAACTTTAAATAAAAAAAGATGTTAGTTTAGTTAGGTAGTTTCAGACAAAGTTGTCAGGTAGGTCAGTAGGAAATAGAAATGAAGAAGAAAGGAACATTACTTCAAAACTGAATTGTAAAGTTGATCCCGCACTTTTTTTTTTTTTTTTTTTGAGATGGAGTTTCACTTTTGTTGCCCATGCTAAAGTCCTGTGGCACGATTTTGGCTCACTGCAACTTCCGCCTCCTGGGTTCAAGTGATTCTCCTGCCTCAGCCTCCCACCACGTCAGACTCACTTTTGTGTTTTTAGTAGAGATGGGGTTTTGGTCAGGTTGGCCTCCGGCTCCTGACCTCAGATGATCCACCTGACTTGGCCTCCGAAAGTGCTGGGATTACAGGCGTGAGCCACCGCGCCCAGCGGTCCTGCACTTCTTAATGCACATTCTCTAGAATGCTCACCAACAGGCGTACAGAAAGAAGGCACTCTGTATTTTTGTGAAGAGATAAACAATAAAAGAAGGATAAAAAGAAACACACAGTAGAAATAATGGAAACTTTCTCAAATTAGTATGATATTTGGAGTATACTAAAGCATTTTTCTGCTGAAATTAACCTAGTGGCTGGTGAATTAAAGGAATTGATTTCTGATGCTAATTTTTAAGTTCATTTTAAAATTTGTTTACAAGTCATATGCTTTTTTATATAATTAAAGTGCCTAATTTTTAAGTGACGAGTACACAGTTTAGACCCAAGGAGAATTAGAAAACCCAACTTCCTAGAGGTAGTTTGCTATGAAGAATAAAACTCCCCCCAATGACAAAAGTCATGACCCGTGTGGTTTTGTTGTTGTTGTTGTTTGTTTGTTTTTGAGACAGAGTCTTGTTCTGTCCCCAGGCTGCAGTGCAGTGGTGCTATCTCGGCTCACTGCAACCTCCACCTCCCAGGTTCAAGAGATGCTCCTGCCTCAGCCTCCTGAGTAGCTGGGACTACAGGTGTGTGCCACCACGCCTGGCTAATTTTTTGTTTTGTTTTAGTAGAGACGGGATTTCACCGTGTTAGCCAGGATAGTCTCAATCTCCTGACCTCATGATCCACCCGCCTTGGCCTCCCTAAGTGCTGGGATTACAGGCGTGAGCCACCGCGTCCAGCCCCACATGGGTTTTAGAAATCGTGTTGGACTCCAAGAGACTCCAGTTCCAGTTCCATGTCACCCACCAACTCCAAGTGCAGCTTTGGCCTTGAACTACCCGGACTTGTATTTTCCAATCTCTAAAAGAGGCAGTTCTACTAGCCGGCCTCCACAGCCACTTGGAGACATGTGAATATACTGTCATTTACATGTTTATCAACGTTAGTTACTTTTTGTTTGCCTTTTATTTCAACATTGAATGTGTGGGAATATATCTGATGGAGACACAAAAATATACACTGTTCACTTGTTCCTTCAGCCACATTGTGGATAATCTCAGCAAACTTTCTCTTGTCTGGCTTTGGCAAGCACAAGTCCATTTAAGGCTCCAGGTTTGGGAGCCTTGTAGCCCTTTTCCTGGCCCTTGAGATCCTGTCCTGACCATCTTAGGATTCTGACAGCCCTTTCAAGAAATGTTTCAGGCTATTAACAAAAATACCACGCACAGAAGGAACTCCCATCTGAGGCCAAGGGTGGCACTTGCCATGATGCAACCACAGTGTCGTCTCCTGCTATGGGAGCTGCAATCCATTTGCACACACTTGAAGGGATCTCTGCTGGCCTAAAGAGTGGCTCTGTCCTCCTTTCATCCGCGACCTAATCTGTTTGACACTCCTCCACCTGTCGGGGTCAACCCCCTGCCCAGTTCGCCTCCTCCCACCATGCTGTCTACCCCTGTGCAGCCCCAGGGCACTAACCAGCAGCCAGATTGGCACAGGGAAACCGGGGAATGAAGGCGGTGGGGAGGGGGGCTGAAGTCCCGTCAAATAAGCAGTTTGACATAGACAACAGATTAATAGCTGGAGTTTTCACACAGTGTTCCAGGCTGGATTATCTTCCCCTAAAATTCCTATATCGAAGCTGCAGCACACGGTGCCTCAGAATGTGGTTGCATTTAGAGACGGGGTCTTTAAAGAGGTAATTAAGGTTAAATGAGTTCATAAGGGTGGGCCCTGATCCAATATGACGCATGTCCCTATAAGAAGAGGAGGTGAAGACACAGATACACACAGAGGGAAGTCCCTGTGAGGCCACAGGGAGAAGGCAGCATCTGCAGGCCATGGAGAGGCCTCAGGAGAAACCAACCCTGTGGCACCTGGATCTTGGACTTCCGGCCTCCAGAACTGTCAGAAAATACATGTCTGTGGTCTAAGTCCCCAGTCTCTAGGACTTGGTTATGGCAGCCCTAGCAGACAATCCGCTTATCAAATAATTGTCTTGGTGGGCATTTGAAGATGAGCCAGAGGAGGACATTTGGAAGGATCCGGGAGAGCTGCTGCCAACTGGGTTATCACTATTCATTCATCAGTGGACTGATCTTCTACTCTCCTGAAATCTGGAGGGACTTTTGCCCCAGAACCACCCTCATGGTGACAGGGCCTAGAATGGAAACTGAATTGCTACTCAGTGGCTGGCCTCCTGAGTCAAAGTCAGAGTGAAGACAGTGAGATTGTTTGTAAGATGGCTTTCCACCATGATACCAGAACGAGGGAGACCGCAGCATTGATGCTTGATAAATATGTGTTCAGTGTGTGAGCTAAGCTTACAAGAGCCTGAGCAGTTCACTTCTCCAGCATGGGGTCTTTCTGCCCAAAAAGCTTGTCTGTGGTCAGAGCTTCTTCCTGCTTTCCTGGAGCTGCAGCTCCCCGCTCCCCACCCCTCAACTTCACCTTCTGAAACTATGCTTGGGTCTCCCTTCACAGCAGCCTTTCTCTGCTGCATCTTTCCACTCCCTTGCTCTTTCCAGTACCGATTACATCCCAAAGGACAGGCTATTTTGTCCCGAGGGAGATCCGTGGCAGGTAAATATCTTCCCGTAAACGGTGGGCCAGTGCTACATCCAGGCAGAGAAGTGATCTTTCCGGAAGCTCTGTCTCACCTTTTCTCCAGGGTCAGTTTTCCTGTCTGAGGATAATAATAGTAACCGATGTTGGCACCGTGCGCTGCAATTTACAAAGCACATTAACACAGGATCGCATTTAATCTTCACAACAACCCAGCAAGGCAAGTAGATCAGTAAAGATGGTTTAGGGACAGGAGTCCAATCCTAGTGTGCAGATGTGGCATCCGCTGACTCATTTATGCAACCCCACCACCATTCTGCACATGAAATTGGTCAAATTATGTGAAACAATCAATTATAACAAGACTCCCTACACAAACTTCTGAATGTATTGTGCTGTTTCTCTATGTAAATCAATGTTTGTGAGACAGCCCACTCTGCTCTGATCAATTGTTAAGGTATTCATTTGTACATTTTGCTGCTGCAGGTAATCTGATGGCAGCTGTCGAGTGCATTTGGGAATGCCCATGCTGATATGTCATCATTATGTTTTCTTATTTTTGCTGGGGATCATAGCCAATGGGCAACATTCTCTTTAAAAGCATCCAAAAATTCTTGCCAAGTGAAGCCTGAACCAGAAGCTGATGCATTTGACAAACTGAAGAGCTCCCCAAATAATTTAGCTATGACATCATCACAAGCTGCTGGAAGCAGTGAAGAAACAGTTACATCCTCTCCTTGTCAGATGCGCTGCGCCTTCCCATGAAGTCCGGTCTTAAGAGTCCTAAGAGGAGCTGCCAATCACAGATGCCTCGGGAGGAGGACGATTTTTTTTGTTGTTTTTGTTTTTGTTTTTTTCCCATTTCTAAGCATAAATCATGGAGTACAAAAAGCACTAACAGTTGAGACACCATATGTGAACCCCTCTGCTTCGGGGCTCCATGCTGATGGAAGCCACCTGCTTTCTTTGGGCACCCTCTCAGCGGCATCCCAGGAGCTGCTGGAAACTGGTGTTATCTCAGATGGCCCTTCTGTCAGGATGACAGCCTTCGAAAGGTGGCTTTTATAGAACACTCAGGACCAGGAGGATGCCAGGTTATCAGGGAAAGAATGGAAATGTATATGGCTGGATATGCATCTCTTCCTTCACCCAGAAGGGTCTTGTTTAAAGTATTCTTCATATCTCTGGTGTTGAGGTCAGCAATCAAAAAAAAAATGAATGTGACTTCTCACAAGTCAAGATAACTTTCAATTCTGTTACCAGTTTCATCAGCTTTTGTAATGTTTTGTGTTTGATCAAAGAGGACAACCTTGTACAGTTGCTTCTGAGTGTTTGGCTTGCCTGGGGGGTGGCATATAAAGTGTCTTTCGCAATTGCTTATTTCATTCCTAATTCTCATGGAGCTGGCATTCTTAGAAAGAAGCTGAGTTTCGCAGCGAATTGATGGCAGGGGCTCTGCAGGGCGGATGTGTGTATCTTCAGCCTTATTCACACAATGCCGTCACCAGATGAACCAACATCCACCTGGGGGCGGACCTGGCCCAGACTCTCTGAAAGAAGGCAGCTCACCCAAGCAGTACTCTGGGAACACATAAAAACTACCACAGGAGTGCCACCCCCAAGACACACACACATGCATACACACATGTGCACATGCACGGACCCATGGACACACACATTCAGACTGCCCCCCACTGCCCATCCCAATGAGCTGGGCCTCATTCCAAACTGTGCTTCTTCTTTGACCTCCATTGGACTTTAAATCACTTGGACATTGGCCCTGATTACTTTTACCGAGATATAGGACTCAATTTAGCACTGCCCACCAAAAGGAAATGGCCCCAAGGGACAGGCTGGCCAGCACTAGTGGCCACCAGCTTCCTTTGCAAGAGAGCAATCAGCATAAGGGAATGGGTGGAATTCAGATATGAGCATTGAAATAACCCACCAAGGCCGGGCGCGGTGGCTCACTCTGTAATCCCAGCACTTCGGGAGGCCGAGGTGGGCGGATTACGAGGTCAGGAGATCGAGACCATCCTGGCTAACACGGTGAAACCCTGTCTCTACTAAAAATACAAAAATTGGCCGGGAGTGGTGACAGGCGCCTGTAGTCCCAGCTACTCGGGAGGCTGAGACAGGAGAATGGCATGAACCTGGGAAGCGGAGCTTGCAGTGAGCCGAGTTCATGCCACTGCACTCCAGCCCAGGCAACAGAGTGAGACTCTGTCTCAAAAAAAAAAAAAAAAAAAAGAAAGAAATAACCCACCAAATAGAGTAGAAACTACAACCCTTCACATAAACCATCGTTAATGCCTTCACAGGGAAGAAAAACAACAGGAAAGAAGAATTAAACACTCAAACAAATTAGAATAACTTCTTAAAATATTCTTAAAATCATTTTTACTTATTTTCTCTGCTGACATAAGCCTTACCATGGCTTTCTAGAACCACGGCCTCTCCACTACAGTAAAAATTACAGTAGCAGCCAGGTGTGGTGGCTCACACCTGTAATCTCAGCAATTTGGGAGGCCAAGGCGGGCAGATCATTTGAGCTCAGGAGTTTGAGACCAGCCTGGCCAACATGGTGAAACCCCATCTCTCCTAAAAATTACAAAAATTGGACGTGCATGGTGGTGCACACCTGTAATCCCACCTACTTCAGAGGCTGAGAGAATCATTTGAACCCCAGAGGCAGAGGAGGGTGCAGTGAGCTCAGATGGAACCTCTGCACTCCAGCCTGGGCAACAGAGCGAGACTCCACCTCAAAAAACAAAAAAAACAACAGTAACCCCTCATCCACGGTTTCACTTTCTGAGGTTTCAGCCACCTGAGGTCATCGCTATCTGAAAATATCACAGCAAAGGCACACCCTGTTTCCTTGTGCTTCACATTGTCACACTTTGCAGCTATTGTATTTTTTACAGACTGAAGATTTGTGGGAACCCTGAGTCGGGCAAGTCTCTCTGCACCATGTTTCCAGCAGGATGTGCTCACTTCGTGTCTCCGTGTCACAGTTTGGTAACTCCTGCAATATTTCAAGCTTTTTCGTTATATCTGATATGGTGATCTGCGATCAAGTGATTTTTGATGTTACTATTGTAATTGTTTTGGGGCACCACAAACCCCAACTATAGAAGACAGGGATGTGTGCATTCTGATTGCTCCAGCAACCGTCTCTTTCTCCATTTCTCTCCCACCTCTCAGGCCTCCCTCTTCCCTGAAACACAACAATTTTGAAATTAGGATAATTTGTAACCCTTCAATGACCTCTAAGTATTCAAGTGAAAGGAAGAGTCCCATGTCTCTCACTTTAAATAAAAAGCTATAAATGATGAAGTTTAGTGAGGAAGGCATGTCAAAAGCCAAGATAGGCCAAAAGCTTGATTCCTTGCACCGGTTAGCCAAACTGTGAATTCAAAGAGAAACTCTTTAAAAAAATTACATGTTACTCAGTGAACACACGAATTATAAGAAAGTGAAACAGCCTTATTGCTGATATGGAGGAATTCGGAATGGTCTGTATAGAAGATCAAACCATTAATAACATTCCCTTAAGCCAAAGCCTAATCCAGGGCAAGGCCCTAACTGTCTGCAATCCTGTACAGGCTGAGAGAGGTGAGGAAACTGCAGAAAAAAAGTTAGAAGCTAGCAGAGGTTGTTTCATGAGGTTTAAGGAAAGAAGCTATCTCCATAACATAAAAGTGCAAGGTGAAGTAGCAAGTGCTGATGGAGAAGCTGCAGCAAATTGTTCAGAAGGTCTAGCTAAGAGCACTGATGAAGGAGGCTACACTAAACAATACATTTTCAGTATAGATGAAACAGCCTCCTGTTGGAAGACGATGCCATCTAGGACTTTCCTAGCTAGAATAGAGGAAGTCAATGCTTGGCTTCAAAGCTTCAAAGGGCAGGCTGACTCTCTTGCCAGGAGCTAATGCAGCTGGAGACCTGAAGTTGAAGCCAATGCTCATTTACCATTTTGAAAATCCTAGGACCCTTAAGAATTGTGCTGTATCTATTCTGCCTGTGTTCTATTGATGGAAAAATAAAGCCTGAATGACAGCACATTTGTTTATAGGATGGTATTGTAAGTATTTTAAGTTCATGGTTGAGAACTACTGCTCAGAAAAAAAAGATTTCTTTCAAAATACTACTGCTCATTCACAAGGCACCTATTCACTCAAGAGCTCTGATGTAGACGTACAAGAAGATTAATACATTGTTTTCATGCCTGCTAACACAACATCCATTCTGCAGCCCATGGATCAAGTAATAACTTCTTCTTTTAAGCCTTATTATTTAAGAAATACATTTCATAAGGCTGTAGCTACCATAGATAGTGATTCCTTTCATGGATGTGGGAAAAGTAAATTAAGAACCTTCTGGAAAGGATTCACTATTGTAAATGCCATTTAGAATATTCATGATTCATGGGAGGAGGTCCAAATATCAACATTAACACGAGTTTGGAAGAAGTTGATTCCAACCTTGATGGATGACTTTGAGGGGTTCAAGACTCCAGTGGGGGAAGGAACTGCAGATGTGATGGAAATAGCAAGAGAACTCGAATTTGAAGTGGAGCCTGAAGATGTGACTGAATTGCCACAATCTCATGAACAAATGTGAATGGATGAGGAGTTGCTTCTATAGATGAGCAAAGAACATGGTTTCTTGAAGCACAATCTACTCTTGGTGAAGATGCTGTGAACATTGTTGAAATGACAACAAAGGATTTAGAATATTAATATTACATCAATTCAGTTGAGTAAGCAGTGGCAGGGTTTGAAAGAATTGACTCCAGTTTTGAAAGAAGTTCTACTGTGGACAGAATGCTATCAAACAGCATCACGTGCAACAGAGGAATCTTTCATGTAAGGAAGAGTCCATCGCTGAGGCAAACTTCTTTGTTGTCTTATTTTAAGAAATTGCTACAGCCACCCCAGTCACCACCCTGATCAGTCAGCAGCCAACAACAGCGAGACAAGACCCTCCACCAGCAAAAAGATTGTGACTCACTGAAGGGCTTAGATAATCAGCATTTTTTAGCAATAAAGTGTGAGCAACAGGTGTGAGCCACCGCACCTGACTGCTACTGTAATTTTTACTACAGGGGAGAGCCCGTGGTTCTAGAAAGCGATGGTAAGGCTTATGTCAGCAGAGAAAATAAGTAAAAATGATTCTAAGAATATTTTAAGAAGTTATTCTAATTTGTTTGAGTGTTTAATTCTTCTTTCCTGTTGTTTTTCTTCCCTTTGAAGGCATTAACGATGGTTTATGTGAAGGGTTGTAGCTTCTACTCTATTTGGTCGGTTATTTCTTTTCTTTTCTTTTCTTTTTTTGAGACAGAGTCTCGCTCTCTTGCCCAGGCTGGAGTGCAGTGGCGCAAACTTGGCTCACGGCAAGCTCCGCTTCCCGGGTTCACGCCGGTCTCCTGTCTCAGCCTCCCGAGTAACTACAGGCGCCCACCACCACGCCCTGCTAATTTTTGTATTTTTAATTAACTTAAGTACATTTTTAGACATACTGCTATTTGTTGCACACTTAATAGACTACAGTACAGTGTAAACATGACTTTTATATGCACTGAGAAACCAAAAGTTTGTACGACTCGCTTTACTGTGATGCTCACTGTGCTGCAGTGATCTCAAACTGACCCAGCAAATGGAACTGAGGTCTGCCTGTATTTTGAGAGAGAGACCCAGCAATATAACTGAGGTATGCCTGTATTTGGAGAGGGAGACCCAGCAATATAACTGAGGTCTGCCTGTATTTGGAGAGGGAGACCCACCAATATAACTGAGGTCTGCCTGTATTTGGAGAGGGAGACCCAGCAATATAACTGAGGTCTGCCTGTATTTGGAGAGGGAGACTCAGCAATATAACTGAGGTCTGCCTGTATTTTGAGAGGGAGACCCAGCAAATATAACTGAGGTCTGCCTGTATTTTGAGAGGGAGACCACAATCACACGCGTAATAATATGTAATAGCTATTACAATTTATTGTTATAATTATTTTATTTCATTACTAGTTATTGTTGTTAACCTCTTATTGTGCCTAATTTATCAATTGAACTTTATCATAGGTATGTATGTATAGGAAACAACAGAGAACATACAATATATAGGGTTCCGTGTTATCCATGGTTTCAGGCATCCACTGGGGGTCTTGGGATGTATCCCCCAAGGAGAAGGGGGTGCTCCTAATGTGGTTGCCCTCCCAGTCTGCTGCAATTGATCTCAAAATACAGAAGAAGAGGAATCCAAATAGAAAGAGGCCAACGTCCAAAAGAAATGGCGGGACCTTGGGTGCAGGTCTTACAATGTCAGTTAAGACATTATCTCCTAAACCCCTTTCTTGGTGTACATGAAAGAAGGAGGAGATCACAAACTATCAGCACTTTGCAGAGACTGCAGCACATGGTGATAAAGGTGGTAGAATATATGAATTAATGAAACATTGTAGGGAATCCTGTCCAACTTCTTATTTTAGCAGAGGATAAAAATGAGATGGAGAGGATTGAAATGTTCTGCTTAAGGTCACTAAGATAGTTTGTGGCAAAGCTAAGGTTAGATCCTCAGTTTCTTGACTCGTCATGGACTCATAGAATCCCAGGGTTTGGAGGAATGGCCCAGACAAACCAGCCCTAAAATACTTAAAGCACTGTTTCCACATGCAGCAGGTGCAGGCCCAGTTTACTTCCAAGCTTCTGAGTGATGAGATCTCATTGCTTCCCAGGACAGCCCATCCTGCCTTGGACAGCTCTGAATGCTGGAGAATTTCTTAGTTTCCACCCCACTTCTGCCCTTGTAGTCTTACAACACAAGCTTTGCCCTGTTTTCCTTGGTCCTCAGAGTCGATAGTAGCTGTGAACCCTCTAGGTTCTCTGTCATTCTTCTGGAGGCAGTGTCAGGGCCTTTTGCAATCTGGTCCCTGTGCTTTGGGTCTATTCTGTCTTTGTCTTCTTAAATATGATGCCTAAAACTGAATGCCAGTACTCCAAAAGTGGTTACCCTAGCCCAGAGAAGGCGAGGCAGTGCAGCATTCTAGGAAATATTCCACCATAATGTAGCCAAAGATGGACGGAACAAACATATGAAAACCACCTCCTGCCCTAAGCCCTGGATTCTCGTCATCCTCACTGCTACTAAGCGCCATGGCACCCTTGGGGTACTAGTGCAGTTAATTCTTTGAGCCCAAGTGAAGAGCCTTTTTATTTAACCTTTTAAAATGTCATTCTAATACAATATGATAATAATATTGTAGACATTAATAGATAAGAATATTGTATTTTATACTCTGGATATTTGGCAAGAGAGTCAATTTTAGGCACTTTTATTGCAAAAGACGGTGATGACATGAGATAGCAGATATGTTAACTGGCTGGACTGTGGCATTCACTTCACTATGCATACATATATCAAAACATCATGTTGCATGCCTTAAAAATATACAATGAAAAATAAATAAAAATTAGAAAATAAAATGGCCTTCTGTCTTGTTCAGCCTTTTCTTCTAACCTGTGCTGTGAGGCCCTTTCGGCTCCTGATCCTGACTGTCCTTCAAAACGTGTGGTTTACCACTGAGCAGGACACAGTTAAGGCTCGCAGCTCAGCACCAGAAGTGTCTGTGAAAGCCGCTGCTGGCCATGGCTTAGACCAGCCTTTGTTGGGTGTATTCCCTGGACCTGCCAGGGAACGGCCACCCCAACCACCTCTGGCCCACATGCCTTTATTTTGTACACAAGGATATCATCACGAGAGACTGTGCCAGATGCAACCACTGTGGCTCCAGCATTTCCTTGACCTACCAGTCTAGTGGCCCCGTCAGAAGAAAGATGAATTTGCTTTCACATGATTTGTGCCTGTGAACCTGGTGTTGTGCGTGTGCCACAATGGCCCCGCCGCTCTAGCAAATATTGATGAATGTGCCCATGCCCTGCTGGTCAACCCTGCCACATGAAAGACCGATTTAAAGCAGGGGATGGTCCCTGATGAGGCCTCTAGGCTCTGACACCCCAAGACTCATCTGGGCATGATCTATGGGAGCTAGCCTGCCCTTTGCTTCCTGGGCTTATGGAGGACAGAGGCCTCTATCCTCCAGTGGCTCACACCTGTAATCCCAGCACTTTGGGAGGTCAAGGCGGAAGGCAGGGGGCACTCCAGAGCTGCTGTCCTTACACGGTCCCCAAGGAGGAACTTGTCCACTCTACTGCAAGCACAGTCCCCAGCCCTTTCTCATCTTCGGCACTCCTTGCCCGCTCCCTGAAACAGGGAGGTAGGCCCTCGCCTACCTTTTCTTCCCCTCTTGGCTCCCTGCAGGGCTGTTGCCACCTCTCCCTAGTCTCCACCAAAGCTAACAGGAAGCACTGGCTCTCAGGTCTCTTGGGGTCAGCTTTATGAATTTATGGTGCTGAAGGACTCCACTACAGCCACAGAATTCCAGCCTGTTCATTCCAATCCAGTAAAGCATTCCAATCAAACCAAAGGAAAAAAACTACGGAGCCCATAATCCTCCCGTAGACCAACAAACATGCCGCTTATCAGTTTGGATTCCAGAGGAAAGAAGGGCTCCCCATATAATAGTGATGTAAGAACCCTCTGTGTTTGCAAAACCACAATCTTCCTGATCAGAGTGCCATCTAAAATTATTACAAATAGGTCAGTAATCTCTGCCTTCAGCACAGAGGGGTCCTTTTACATTTTTTCCCTGGTTTGTTGTGTGTTATTTTTGCCATCATTCTTCAGTGTGTAGGTGGCATCATCGCCAGGAGGCAGAGACAGTAATAAACGAGCTTTCGGGTGTTGCCACTCTTTAAAAAAATCCTTTAACGAGTGGTTCTGAAGGCTGAGGTCATTGTCAGGTGCAGCCTGAGAGGAGGAGAGCCTCCTCGGTGGGGATCTTGAAGGAACACTGTCCACTTCAGTGCTCCACGACATGAGCAGCACAGCTGGCCTCAAGAAGGCTACACATACCGTCCACATGTTGGATCCAGCTGAATCGAACACGGCCAACCCTTTGAACTGCTTCAGCAAATAATATTTGACGCTTGGAATGCAGATAGCACTGTACATATTGTGTATGTTTCAAAGTGGCAGAGCACACCTTACTTAATCTGTCCTAACAACATACTGTAAGCACAGACCTTTTAACTCTTTGTGTTTAGAGTTAAGGATTCAAACTCTGAGAATTTGAAGGGGTCAAGATTGCTGGGCTAATTAGCAGACAGGTCAGGACTAGAATTGAGGTTTCTTTAACCCAAGACGTAAACTTTTCAGGGAGAGAATTAGGGAAAGAAAATGGAAGAACAATGGTGTTGGACCCAAATAGACTTGGATGCCAATCATGGCTTTCCTTGTTACCAAACAAAACAGATGGCCTAGGACTAGTTACCTAAGTGCTCTGAATTCTAGTCCCCTTAGCTGTAAAATGAAAGTATTTCCAACCATCAGGATGATGGTGAGAAATGGCACATGCAGCCTGCTTGACATGTGCTAGTTATTACCATAATGGCACCGAGTTTCTACTTAACGTCCTCACTGCACCACAGTGCCATCCGAAGGGCACCGGCAGGCGCAGTGTCTCACACCTGTAATCCCAGCACTTTGGAAGGCTGAGGTGATGGGATAGCTTGAGCCCAGGAGTTTGAGACCAGCCCAGGCAACATAATGAGACCTTATCTCTACCAAAAACATTTTTTAAAGTTAGCTTGGTGTGGTGGCATGTACCTGTAGTCCCAGCTACTCTGGAGGCTGAGGTGGGAGGATCACTTGAGCCCAGGAGTTCAAGGCTGAGGTAAGCCATGATCGTGATACTGCACTCTAGCCTGGGTGACAGAGATCCTGTCTCTAAAACAAAACACAAATACAAAGTGCACCCCACGAGTCACGTGTGAAAGGAAATGTTTTCCCAAGAGAGTCTCCTTTCATTGTTAAGCATTTTGGGGACCCTGCCTACTTTATCACCCCCTTTGAAATTAGCATCTTATGAGCTGCACCAGACTTCAGTCTCCAGGAAGGCAGGAACATACTGGTGTTTCTTATACAAAGCCTGCACACAGTCCACACCCAGTGAAAATTGCTGAATGAGCAATTATGAGGCGTTCTGCTCCAGGAAAGAAAAAAGAAAAACTAACTTTGTGGAACCAAATTTCCAAAACTTGCATCGCAGAGTCTGTCTTTCTCTGAATACCTGAAAGCTGCCTTAAAAATGCTGTTGTGGAGGGTCTGGTGTGTTCCAGCCACTCTCTGGGTAGGGGAAGTCTGTGGGGAGGGGGAGGGCGCTAGGTGGAACCCAACGGGTTTTCCATTCCAGCCATTCCCAATTTTATAAGCCCCCCCAACTCTGGGCTGACTTTTCTCATACCCAAGGATGTCACTGACTTCCTTTCTCTGTCCACCAATTCATTTAGAAAATGCAAATGCTAATTTCACTCTTAGTCTATAAGGAAAAAATAATAATTAGGAAGGTTAGTACAAGGCACATTTGCAATGTATTTCAAAAGTAAATTAGAACTTTCTCTTATAGGCATTAATGGATTAACTGAATCCTGGCTCCTACATGTTAGCCTGAGGTCAAGAGTTAAAACAACATTGAAATATCTTCCTAATCACAAAGAAATTCCAAATCAAGTCATTTCATTTGCACAGAAGTCTTGTAAATGTGATCTTTGCAGAGGGAAAGCACTCCATGGAATGAAGGGGAAGAAGGAGCAAGGGTACGGGTCCCAGTGGTCCCAGCCTGGACTCTTCCTAGCTGTTGAGCACAGCTGAAAGAACAGAGCAACACTCGAGGCCAAGGTGGAAAGAGCTTCCTTTCCTTGTAGGCCACTGACCTTACACTGGAACGAGCACCACCAGCAAACACCTGTGATGCCAATCGTCTTGCAGGTAGGAGAGATCCATCCAGGAGTGGGATGGACTCGACATAAGCTGCAGGTGTGATTCCTAAAGGACGTGCTACTCAAACACCATGGAGGCTCGGCAGCAAAAAGCTGGTGGCGGGGTTGCAAATTGCCAAGCACACCTGACACTCATGGCCCTACACGCTCATTCAACTGTTAAGATACGGAATAGAAATCTACCCCCTGGGCAACCCAAGTGTTCATTAACAGATACAAACAAACTGTGGTCCATCCACACAACAGAATATGATTCAGCCTTTAAAAGGAAGGAAACGCTGACATGGGTTACCACTGGATAAACCTTGAAGACATAGTGCTCAGTGAAATAAGCCAGTCACAAAAGGATGAGCGCTGTGTGATTCCTCTTATAGGAAGCACTAAAGTAGGCAAATCCATAGAGACAGAAAGTACAGTGGAGGCTGCCAGGGTCACGAGAGGAGGAGTTATTGTTCAATGGGTAGAGTTTCCATTCACAAGACTAAAAAGCCCAGAGACGGATGGTGGTGACGGTTTCCCACAGTGTGAATGTGCTTAACACCACTGGACTGTGTGCCTAAAATGATTAAATGGTTAATTTTATATTATATATATATTACCATAATTAAAAAGAATAGCATCAGTAGGGCCAGCACAATGGCTCACACTTGTAATCCCCGCACTTTGGGAGGTCAAGGCAGAAGGATTGCTTAAGCCCAGAGGTTAGAGACCAGCCTGGGCAACATGGCGAGGCCCTGTCTCTACAGAAAATCAGCTGGGCATGGTGGCATCTGCCTGTAGTACAAGCTACTCGGGAGGCTGAGATAGGAGGATCATCTAAGCCCAGGAAGTTGAGGCTACAGTGAGCCACTGCACTCCAACCTGGGCAACAAAGCAAGAAGACCCTGTCTCAAAGGAAAAAAAAAAATAGCACCAGCTATTTTTAAAAAATCCCCCATGGAAGTCAGGAACACTTTTATTCACTACTTCCTCAGCATCACAAAAGGTGTTTCTTCCCCATCCTGGTCTCCCAGCCAAGGATAAGCATTATAAATGCTGGTGCTTTGAGAGAAGTTGGGCTACTTCTAAAGTGGTGGTTTCTGTTTAAGCCTGGAATTTGCTCTCCCAGAGGATCAAGGACCATGTTGAGGCAGTCGGGCTGTGGAAAGCTCTGTGGCACCCCAGCACACTTTTGATTTCAACAGCATTGTCTCTAGCCGTCAAAGCATCCCTCTTTGGGCAGAAGTTTTCGATGACTGGCATTCTTTCACAATTCTTGCTCTATCAAATGTTTTTTAAAGCACCTCTGCCCATAAATGCAACACAAACAAGTTGCCCTGTGAGTCACAGGACGAGAGCACATGCTAAGTCCGCGTAATGATCTTTATGTAATTTGCCCCTTAGTCATTGTCTGGCCCATTAGGTAAACAGGCAGTGTGCATTTCTTTGAAAATAAGGGTCTCTATAAAAACTGCCATTGTGAATAGACTGAGCAATAAAGCGCCCCACAAGGTGTTTAACTGAAAGGAATGTTTTAGAGATAAAAGCAGGTTTGTTTTGAAGTCATTCAGGATAAAATATGAAACAGGATTTCCCCAAGTCCACCCTGGACATTGATTGTTTTTAAATTTCATAGGGAAAAAAAAATCACTGTGGCCTATCTGAGCCTTAGGGGCAAACGCTGAAGTCTCTCAGTGGATATCGACTTTGCACAGGAAAAAAGGCACTGAGACCCTGGAGGTGGAGCATGGAGCTCTGCCGCCTCGCTTCCTCTGTGAGCTCGGCCCTGGCATTCCTCACATCACTGCTGGCCCTTGAGTAACAGGCCCCACACTTTCATGAATATAATAGAAAGAAAGCAGAATTCGGTCTTAAATGTAGTTGAAAGCCACATCGAGGAAGATGTGGTGAAATACCCCAGGAGATGCATTGAGCTTCAGAACGTGCACTGTGTGCCGGGCCCTAGCTTTCCCCAGCCTCCTCCTGATGAACTCTGGTTTCCTCTCATCCTTCAAGGCTTAGCTGGGCCGGGCACGGTGGCTCATGCCTATAACCCCAGAGCTTTGGGAGGCCAAGGTGGGAGGATCGCTTGAGCCCAGAAGTTCGAGACTAGCCTGGGCAACATAGTGAAACCCTGTCTCTACAAAAAAAAAAAAAAAAAAATTAAAAATTAGCTGGGTGTGGTGGTGCACACCTATTGTCCCAGCTACTTGGGAAGCTGAGGCAAGAGGATCACTTGAGCCCAGGAGTTCAAGGCTGCAGTGAGCTATGATAATGCCACTGCACTTCAGCCTGGACAACAGAGCAAGACCATGTCTCTGGAAAAAAAAGAACAAAAGGCTGGGCTGGTTTAAAAGTGAGCTTCTCACCGAGCCCTTCCCAGAGGACTCTCCTCATCTGGGCCTTCCTTGGTCATGCTAATCACATTGCATTGTAACTGTTGGCTAATCGGCTTGCTCCACTGGAATTTGAAGTTCTTTGATAGAGGGAATGTCTTTCATCTCTGTATCCGCAGTCTGACGCCTGGTGCTATAGATGCTAAGTAAATAAACGGTGCTGGACTTGGACCTGAATCGATCCATCACCGAGTATGTGTTGAGTGTCTATCTACAGCCCTGCTATGGGAAATGAAGACATGCTTGTTTTCCCTAAAGAGCTTATAGCTTTGTTGGAGAAGCACTGCATAGGATACTATATCAGGCAAGAGAGGACACATTTGGATGACAGTTGCACACTATAGACAAATTTCTCAAGTAACCCAGAAGAGATGGGATGGGAGCTCTTTTCCTGAAGGTAGCTGTATGGAACACTGATGAGGATCTTGAGCATTTGGGAGCCCAAAAGAGGGACAGGCTTGGATTGAGAGGGAAAGTAATGGGGAAAGGAACTCCATGAACTGCAGGACATGGAATGCAGCATTGTGAGCCTAATTTTGAACATTTAGTCCTGTGTTAAAAGGCTTGCTAGTAAAAAGCTTGTTTACTTATTAGTAAAAGGTTTTACTAACTACATGAGCTTAGGTAAGCTGGGTGGAGGCTCCCTGCCTCCATTTCCTCTATAAAGTGGGACAATGATAGTAACAACCTCAATTTGTTTGTATGAGAATGAAATGGGACACTGCACAGGCACCCTTAGCATGCGCTGTGGACAGAGCTCTCTTCCTTACTAGCTGGTAGTATGCGCCAAGAGGGGATGAGCCCAGCCTATCTGTGGGAGAGTCATCAGGGCTTTTTGAGCATTGGTGCCCACCAAGAAGTGTGATGGGCCTGGATTATGAAGGGCTTCAAAAATTGGCAGATGAACTTCAACATGACGGGGAAGAAACAGGAAACCCTGGGAGGTATTCCCCTTGCCCCACTGAGGGTAGGGAGCTCAAGCCAGCATGGTCCAGGCTCTCCTCCCCTCATTCCTGACCAGGTTTAATGCGTTCCTACCTAGCTCACCAACATATCCAATGGGAGTTCCCACAAATTAAACGTTTTTCGCTAAGCCTGTGGTGCTTTGATTACTAAGTGGGGTTTTGTTTTGTTTCCATTAACAAAGAGTGACTCAAATAGCCTAAAATAATAAAATCTTTTCTCATCTCTGACTTTGACTCCTTAACCTCAGCACAAATCACAAGACCCTTCTCAATTTTCTCATCTTCAACATATAAATGATGCCAGCGCCTCCCAGGGCATTAGAAGGATTAGCATCTGTCAAAAATACTGGAAACCTTGGGACCTATGGCCCGAGAAGAGCTTTAGCAAGTATTTTATTTTTAAAAAAGAGCCTAAACAGGCTGACTCCCTCTGCATCTTGCTACTTCTGAGGTCTATGCAGTTCTGCACTTTTCTCTTTTCTATTGTTATGTATTTGATTATCCCTTACAGAGTGGGGTGGTTTTCCTGCTAAACACCATCGTGTATGCAGTTATTTTCCTCCCCTCAGCTCCCCACAGTATTCCTCTGCTGTTCCAAATGTCCATGATTCTTTCAAATCATGGAAACTAAGATCCTGTCTGTCACTAGCTCTCAAAAAGTTTTAATTTCTACCTGCATGGGTGGTAGTCTGCAACCAGCTCCTGTGGGCTCAGGAGAGCCAACTGTTACATTTTCAAGAATCTGTGCACTGGTTGTGGACAGTCACTTGAGATCACCCGTGCATGCATGGGAACATTTACACCATGAAAAATGTCACATGCTACAAATCAGGGCCTGGTTTGTTGTTTTGTCAATTGTCTAGACATAAGATAGTGATAAAGTGTTAATAGATTAAGCTATTAAAATAATAGATTGGAGACTGAATTTTAAAATGTATCTTGTCTGGGGACATCACATTGTGAATAGCACAAAATAGCTAAGGAGATATTCCTCCAGAATTTGAAAGCCACTGTTGAATTCTGCAAAGAGGCTGTTCATATCGTGTCTTCATTGTTTCACCTTCATCTCACTTGCTAACTGAAGAACACTTGAACATGCACTGACTTCCTGAGGGCCACCAGGCATTTAGGGAGATGCCCAGTGAGAGGAAGGCAGCCTTGTGTCCCTTATAATGAGACCCTTCTCTGAAATTATTAAATAATCTACCTTGCAGTAAAAACTGCTGATTCTTCGTGGAGGTCTCTTCAAATACAATGATCTGTGAAAATTCTGCCTACAGAATTTTAAGAAAAACCAAGAGTACCAATTAACTAAAAAATTTATATAAAATTAATGATGAAAACAATGACCATTAACAAACATTAATAAACAAAATATCAACCAACATTCACACGGGAACCACGTGCTGGGAGACATTTGGTGACCATTTACCAGCACGCCACTGCATCTGTTGCCTTTGGGTCCTAGGGCAGAATTCCTTGGGGAAGGATGGCATTGTTCATTTCACTCCTGTGGGGCCGGCCCTCCTCAGCATGCATGCCCAGAGCTGACCCTTCCCCTGGCCACAGACCCAACCTCTAGGCATAAGATTAAACCTGGCATTTCAAGAAGCAAATGGGGCCCCTGAAGATCTCTTGTGGGTACCATCAACTGCTGCCTTCTCTGCTCACAGGCTTTGGAATTTGAGAATTTCCCAACAGTGAGATGCCTCTGAAATTATGAAATGAATAGGAATACATCTTAAGCAAGTAATATATAAATAATGGGAAGGAAAACATTCCCTCAGGCTGGGCATTATCAAATATTTAAGACAAACTTTAACGACAGTCAACTTGGCCTCATTTTTCTATGTGCTCTGTCTGACACATTCAGAAAACTTGCACCTGGGCACAAAGTTGTTCGTCCAAACTCACTGCCCCTGTTATTGGCTAACTGGAAGGGCTAGGATCCAGCCGTGCTTGGAATTAGGCAATTGCCATTGTAATTCCTTTACTAAGAACAATGACCATTTTACATCGCACTTAGAGTTTTTCAGGTAGGTTATAGGCAGCATGTATTTATTCTTTTCAATAACCTCACACATCACGCCCTTTTTACAGATGATGAATGGAACAAAGAGAGCACTGAGCCAAAGCGGAGGCTGTCTAGTCAAGGTCTCCACCTGCCGCGGGACTGGGGAGAACGGTGTGGCCTCAAGGTCTCCACCTGCCGTGGGACTGGGGAGAACGGTGTGACCTCAAGCATATAGCACCATAGCACTCCTGGGCTGAAAGCCAGCAGCAGCCCCCACTGTCCATTAGATGAAGTCCAAATTCTTTAGCAAGACATATGAGCAGTTCCTCATCAGATGCAAAATCTACTTCACTTGTCTCATTTCCCACTCTTTCCCATTTTCCTAAAAGCACTGGGCTCCAGCCACACAACTCTATGCTATTCCCCGTATACAACTTACTCAAATGCACCACCAAGTTTTGCAGATGGCCCTTGGCCAGACGCCCTCCTCCTTCCTCATTTTGAAAACATTCACTTAACTGAGCTCAGCTGTCATGACTCCAGAATGATCTCCCCTAAGGTCTTCAGGTAAAGTGGGTCACTACAATACAGGTACAGCAAGGCAAAATTGTCTCCCATATTACAGTTGGCCCTCCATATCCATGGGTTCTGCATCTATGGATTCAACCATCCACAGACAGAAAATATTTTTTGATTGCTTCTGTATTG